>NC_000001.11:210305799-210457314 GCF_000001405.40 Homo sapiens | reverse complement strand
TTATTTATAAGAACCTCTCATATATAAGATGTGGGGTAAGTACTGGAAATATAAAGACGAATCAAGAATAATACAGACCAGGAACCTCAACATAAGGTGGAAGTGCTACAACAGAGACTTGGAGATTTTCTCTCCCCGCCGGGGGTGAAGGAGGAAGAGAAACTAATGTCCTGAGGTGGTCAACCCACCAGTGCTCAGAGTCATCATGATGGCTCTGCAGACACACTGAACAAAAGGTAGCTATTGCCCCACAGGAGTTCTGTAACGTGCTTGGTCAGGAGGAGATGGATCAGCACCCAGAAAACCAAAGTCAGTAAATGTGACTGGTAGGGGAAGGGAGTGAGGTCATGGGCAGAACTGAGGAACAGCTGCCACATACTCCAGAGCAGCAAGTGCTACAGCCCAGAAGGAAGAGCAGCGTGTGGGGGAGAGGTACCAGGGACACCTCACGTGAAGCTTGACCGGCCAGAGGGGCTAAAGAAGCAAAAGGAATTCAGTCATCTCTAGCATTGAATTCTGGAAATGAATGACTACAGCAACTGGTGTCATTTCAATTCAACCTAAACCTCTAGAGCTAGAAGCAGCCCCACCAGGGAGAAGCTAGTGTCCCCACTTCTGAGCTCAACAGTGTCATTGGCCTGCTGAAGGACAAATGGTCAGAAACCAGTAGCTCAGACTCATCCACTAGGAGATCCTAAGCTGAATCTCTGACCAAGAGGGACAGACACATGTAATCTACCTGCCTGTGCACGGTCTATATCACAAAATCCCCTACTCATAGTACAGCAATAATATGCTCTAAACAATTGGTTGTGCATGTTGATGGCAAGGCCATGCACATCCGGTAGTTGACCCTCTGGTGCTCAAAAAGGGGGTGGTCCCAGGAACCCGCTGCATCTGGCTGGTGAGCAGTTCACAGAAGAGGCTTTAGGGCTGCTTCCAGGAAATGCAAAGACTGAGTATTCAGAGTAAGTAAGACCAAACCAGGGAGAGAGGGGAGACAGAAAGGGGAAAAAAGGCAACGAGTCAGAAGCTGGAGGAACATTAATCACATCCCTAAAACTAGAAACGAACAAAGCAGATGTTGGTAAAATGAAGCAAGAACAGACTTGAGTGGATTAGAGAGTGATTTGGGGCTATAAACTTCTGGCTGCATAATTCCTTTCTGCGTGAAGGCACAAAACAATACAAAGAGGCCAGGCTGTGCTCCTTGGGTCCATCAACAGGCCTGGAGGGACAGCAGCCAAACAGAAGGGGACAAAGCCAAAACCTGGTGCTCTCCTGATGAGAGCTATGGCAGAGCTTTGCACTCTCCTCTACCTACAGTTGCTAAAGTGGGATCTACACACCCTTCAGGCGTGGCTTCTCAGACAGTTCCATCTCGTCTCTCATGGGCCTTATTATTTACCAATATCCATGTAAAACAATAATCACACAAACAGTAAAAGCATAAACAGATACAGAATAATAAAAATACCAAATTCAGGATAGTGGCTGCCATTTAGGGGCAGGGTGGGAAACACAATCAGGAGGGAACCCAATCAGGTTTCAACTATGTTGTAATATTTTATTTCTTAAACTAAGGATGGAGAAACCAGTGTTTGCTCCATTCTCTCTGTGGTGAGAACTACTATTACTCCCCATTTTACAGATAGGAACCTGGGCACAGAAAGGTTACAAAATTTGCCTAAGATCACACAGTAACAAGTGGCAGGGTCGGAACTTGAATCGGGTCAGCTGTCTCCAAGTCACCACGTTTACTAGATTCACACAAAACTGAGGCCAGACGTGGAACAGAGCCTGTGTGAAGCTGACCAGGGAGTTGTTAAAGGGAGCTGACAGAGGTTATTTCAAGCAGGAAACAAAGAAACAAACCAAAAAAACAAAGGGAACGAGCTCTAAAGGTCCTCAGAAAATCCAGCCTCAAAGAGCACAACGTATGCAAAGGTATTTGAAATCAAATGAGGGTGCGGTGTGTTGTGGTGAGCAACTCCAGATGAACAGATTTGCTCTTTGAGTTGTTTCAAGCTAACTAATACCAGGTCAAAGAAGCACAGGCACAATGAGAGATACCTTTTTCTGCTATAAAGGGCAGGTAACGTGAAAGACAGGGACAAGAAGACAGGCACTTAGTGTGCCAAGGACCATCAATCTCGGGAAGCCTTTCAGCTGCTCCCAGAGGTGGTCTCGGTCAAGGTCAAGAGTCAGCCCCAGAAAGAGCTTCAACAGCTGCATGAAAATTGCCTCCTGGCCTCCCATCAGCCTCCCCTGCTTTGTCCTTAAATGAGAGGAGCCAGTGATCTGTAGAAAGGGCTCTACACTGGGCAACCATGAACTAACACTCTCCCAGGTAACTGTTTCTTCTTTTTCTTTAACACCAAACTGATCCTTTCAAGGTCACAATGAGTGGTTATTAACTTGGAAACCCAAGAGAGAGTTGACTTCCCAGAGTGACTATTCTTTGAACATGTTAGACATGGAAAAATTTGGTTTTGGAAAATTGCTTCTTAACGGGCTCAAACCACCAAAATGTCCCTCTTTAAAGGAAAGATGTGTTGCTGGAGGACACAATTTACCTAGGTAGAATATTAAATCCTATTTGCCCATCTTGTTCCTCAGGATATCACCTGCTGACATCTTGTACTTGATTCAAGAAATGCAGGGAAGAAGATCCCACACAGCAGAAGCAAAGTAATACTCCACACACATAGCCAGGCAAGACTTAATGAAATAATGTGGGACAAGAAGGGAGCTTTTTTTTGAGACAAAGTCTCATTCTGTCACCCAGACTGGAGTGCAGTGGCACGATCTCGGCTTACTGCAAGCTCCACCTCCCAGGTTCATGCCATTCTCCTGCCTCAGATTCTCAAGTAGCTGGGACTACAGGCACCCGCCACCACGCCCGGCTAATTTTTTTGTATTTTTATTAGAGACAGGGTTTCACCATGTTCACCAGGATGGTCTCAATCTCCTGACCTTGTGATCTGCCCACCTCGGCCTCCCGAAGTGCTGGGATTACAGGCGTGAGTCACCGTGCCCGGCCGAAGGGAGCTTTACACAGGGCAAAATGTCTGAAAATTCTAAAAAGCACATTTTCAGGCAGAGTCCATGATATGGTTTGGCTGTGTCCCCACCCAAATCTCAACTTAAATTATATCTCCCAGAATTCCCATGTGTTGCAGGAGGAACCCAGCGGGAGGTAAATGAATCACGGGGGCCAGTCTTTCCCACGCTATTCTCGTGATAGTAAGTCTCACAAGATCTGATGGGTTTAACAGGGGTTTCTGCTTTTGCTTCTTCCTCATTTCTCTCTTGTCACCGCCATGTAAGAAGTACCTTTCACCTCCCTCTGTGATTCTGAGGCCTCCCCAGCCATGTGAAACTGTAAGTCCAATTAAACCTCTTTTTATTGCCAGTTTCGGGTATGTCTTTATCAGCTGTGTGAAAACAAACTAATACAGTCCATCACTCACTTTGCCTAAAAGAAGTGCTCTGTAAAATCTATGTGTAGACTGAATTGGAAATTAACTACTAATTAAAGGATTCTATTGCAAATCCTTCAAAAAAGTAAAGAATCCCTTTAGAAAGCAAATAATTACCCCCCTCAAAGTATCCAACAAATTCAGATTTCCATATGTCAACCTGGTTTAAAAGAAACATACAAGTATTTTCTGCATCTAAGAAGTTGTCCGTACACCAAGTTACCTCAGCACAATAATGAGTTAGTTAAGAATGAACAAAGATCATGGTATTCTGAGGGGACTATGGGGGAAGGAGAGAAAGGGGGAAAGGGAAGGCACGGAATAGGGGGTATTTTAAATAACTGTGCTGCAACTTGCTACATTTCAGTATATATTTATAACAGCACATCAAGCAGGCATCTCTTCCATTCTGCAAGCATGCACCATGAAATTATCTTCACACTACATAGAATATCTGTAATTGAACAGTCAAGTTCCAGAGTAGTAAATCCCAGAGTAGCTTTAGGTTTACACTGCATTAATTTTAAATAACCTTAGGATTCTAATCCAAGAAGAAAATTTATAAAAATTTTTTCTACTGTATCTTAACGAACCTTAGAATGTTTAATGCCTCAAAAGAGGGGAAAAAGAAAGGAATCTTATGCTAACTGATATATGTTTGTCTCCCCAGCTTTCAAAACAAGGATCAGACGTCAAATGTCTTATCCCTTTCCTCTCACTGTTATGTTGTAGAATGAGAAAAAGCAAATGGATAACTTTGCTGGCATTTCATTACCATTTAGATAGGTGCACAGGCGTTATTTCAACAACAGTTGGTACTTAAACACTGAGCTAAAAAACTCTGATTACTTACACTTAGACAGGTTTTTAATCTCCAATCAGTGAACAATTAAGTCTTTCAAAAAGGACTCTAATGTACATTCCACAAAGCTTTATTATAAACTTTGCCATGTAAGAACAACCAACTTTCAATTATTTTCACTTTTCTATCTCCTCGCTCACTCTCAAATCCCTTGCTAAAGCTCTCTTTTCTCCCATAAACTCATATACCTGGATTTACCATGGATTTACCATAGAGAAGCACCATTCAATAATAAATTGAAGAAATATTACCTTTCTGAGCTCTTTTAAAGAAAAACCTCAAGTCACTGTCTTTGCTCCTCTTAATCCTAGGCTCTGCCTAGTTAGGGTATAGCTCCACTCTGCCATGTTCTGTTTTCTTAGAAGATTCTGAAGTTCAAAAGAATATAACAGTTCTTATCTTTTAGAGATACTACCGAAATATTCATAGATAATAAGATATCTGGGATTTGCTTCAAAACAATACGGGAGAGAGTACAGATGAAAGAAAACTGGCCAGGAGTTGATAATTGTTGAACCTGGGAGATGAATACATTAGGGTTAATTCTACATTTATGCTTTTAATTTTCCAGAATGCAATATTCTAAAAGGGGAGGCACTGAGAGCCCCCACCTGAACCCTAAATATTCAACTTCCTCCTCACTACCAATTGAATGCATGTGCAGGGGGCAATGAGCAAAATGGGCTTATCTCAGCACAATCCCACCTCCTTGCTCAGCCTTTGTGCATAGAAAGCATGAAAAATAGAAAAATGGAGAGGCGAATTATGGGAGGGAGAAGGGGGAGAATGCCAAGGATCAGAATAATGAATTAGCTTATCAGTCCTTAGATCGCTGGGAATTGGCAGTCTATGAAGAAGAATATCTTTCTATAACAAGATGCCCCATGGTGATCTTTAGCAATTACAACAGCACTTCTGAAATTCATCTGGTCCTAAACACCTTCTGGGATAATAATCACAGAGAATCCTAGCCTCTCCTTGAAAGATTCTGTTTAGTATCTGAGCCAGAGATCTGAAATCTCTATATAAAACAAGCACTAGAAAATTATGCCCAGTCAAGTTTTAGAGATCTAGGTTACAAGTTCCATACCCTACTTTCTTTTCCCATTTTTTAAAAGATATATCATGTTTTGGGAGGCTGAGCCAGGAAGATCACTGGAGACCAAGAGTTGGAGACCAGCCTGGGCAACATAGCAAAACCATGTCTCTATAAAAAATTTAAAAATTAGTCAGGCATGGTAATGCATGCCCACAGTCATAGCTACTTGAGAGGCTGAGGTGGGAGGATCACCTGATCCCAAGAGTTCAAGGGTGTAGTTAGCTATGATCGTACCACTGCACCTCAGCCTAGGTAACAGGGTGAAACCCTGTCTCTAAATAAATAAATATAAATATAAAAAGATATTTCAAAGTGTAAATAGCAGTTTTCTTGGAAAAATAGAAATTACCTTTCTGTTGTTTTAATTTTCCAAATACTAATTTCATTAATATTTTCTGATTTTCAGGTATAGAAAAGAAAAAAAGTCACCTTTCTCGTTCAGTTTGTTCTGTGGCAGAATTTCAAAGGTAATGTTCCAAATTCATTCTGACATTCATCACTGAGTTATCCAAAAAGAGAACATGCAGGGAATTTCAAAGAGAAATCTTATGCCACAGAAGTGACCTTTCATTTTATTAGCTAAAGACTGCTATCATTTTGATAAGCACAACTTAGTTGTGAAGAAACAATGCTCTGCTAGTCTGAGAGCAAAGATCAGCGGCGACCCAGACCCAATCTAATACTCCCTACCAGAGAAACCAAGCTCCAAGCTTCTCTGCAGAGTTCTGCTAAAAATACTTCCACAAATAGTGCTACAAACAACTTTTTTTTTTTTTTTTTTTTTGGAGATGGAGTCTCGCTCTGTTGCCCAGGCTGGAGCGCAGTGGCATGATCTCGGCTCACTGCAAGCTCCACCTCCCGGGTTCACACCATTCTCCTGCCTCAGCCTCCCAAGTAGCTGGGACTACAGGTGCCCACCACCACACCCGGCTAATTTTTGTTTTTGTATTTTTAGTAGAGACGGGGTTTCACCGTGTTAGCCAGGATGGTCTCGATCTCCTGACCTCGTGATCTGCCCGCACTTTTAACAAAACTTAACACCACCCTATCCCATAGTGTAGGAAGTAGAAGAGAAAAAACGTTACTGCCAGTTATCAAAGCTCCCTCAAAAGATAAATCCTCAGCTAATTTTCAAATTTGCTAGCATTCCAGGGGAAAGCTGTTTGTACATTTTATCTATATATTTATTTAATATGTAGATTCATTATAAAATGTGCCCTCTGCTATTGTCACAGTCCTTGGGGTATGTAAAAAAAAAAAAAAAGATTTACAATGTACCAATTATAAAAGATATGGCCAGGTGCGGTAGCTCATGCCACTGCACTACAGCCTGGGCAACAGAGCAAGACTCCATCTCAAAAAAAATTTTTTTAAAAATAAGATACAAAATAATTTTTTAATCCTTCAGAATAGGAAAGTTGCACTCAGAACATCTTCCCTTTCACAGAAGAAATGTTTGAAAAGCAGGATGTATCCAAGGCTCCAGTGATCTATGCAGATCTTCCATACATTTTCCCCAGTTGGCACCCTTCCCAATAGCTTTAATGGCCATATCCTCACTGTTTCCCACCCCCCCCACCTGAGACGCAGTCTTGCTCTGTCGCCCAGGCTGGAGTGCAGTGGCGCAATCTTGGCTCACTGCAACCTCTGCCTCCCAGGTTGAAGCAATTCTCCTCCCTCAGCCTCCCAAGTAGCTGGAATTACAGGCGTCCACCATCATGCCCCGCTAATTTTTGTAGTTTTAGTAGAGATGGGGTTCACCATGTTGGCCAGGCTGGCTTTGAACTCCTGACCTTGTGATCCAACCACCTCGGCCTCCCAAAGTGCAGGATAACAGGGGTGAGCCACCACGCCAAGCCCATATTCTCACTGTTGAATCCCAAATACGTATCGCTAACTTTGATATTTCCCCCGAATTCCAGAACTGTGGATGCATCCTCCCTCTGGAAATCTCCACTTCCTCTCTGTCCCTGTGGCCCGACACAGCACCTGGCACCCAACATTTAGAGAGCGAATTAGCGAGTAGAAATTTCTTTATGGAGACCTAATGAAACTTTGATGAACTGATGTGAATTAAATGACCATCACTTTTTCAATGATCACAGTTACATTTGAGGAAGGTCAGCACTTACATAACTCACAATCATCTAGCCCGTCTAGCCTCCCTTAATATGCCCTGTGTCACAAAATTAGTAACAGTTTAGGACTGGAACACTCAGCTTCTCTCTCCCAATGAAAAGTAATTCATTACAGCCATGAAGGAGCAGAGGGAGGCTCCCTCTAAACCTGAGGACTCAGGGGAAGCAGCTCAGAAGTGAGATGTTTTGGAGGAATTAACTAGGTAAAGAAAACCTGAAGCAATGGCATAGACAAAGCATGAAGAAATGAACCATCCCAGCGCAGCTGGGGAGGAAAAAGTGTAGACGGGAATGGTGATGCAACTTCAGCGACGGGAAAGGCATGATCAGAAAGGGTCACACTCGTCAGCCACGAAGCACGACTTTATAGAGGAAGACCTGGGAAATCAAATAAGAAAATTATATGATTTATTTTGTGTTTTTGAAAGATTGGTCTGTTTAGAAAAAAAAAAAAAGTAGAGGATGAGCTTTGTTCCTAAGGGGGGAAAAGGCAGAAAAAGGAGCTAGATAGAGAAGACAGAACAGCATGGCCAGAGGCCAGAGTCTGAGTGTCAGACATGGCAGAGGGACCCGGGAGGTCCGACCACCAATTTTAAGCTGCTTGTGGAATTGTCTCCTAAACCTTTATTAAAGTCCTCTAACACACGCTGCATCTAAATGATTTTTGTTGGTGGTTGTGTGTGTCATGCATGGTGTGTGTGTACAAATTAAGAAAAATAGCCAAATGCCACATGAGAGCCAGGGTGATGTTCAGTGGGGACAGTGATATGATCCCCAAACAGAACCAATTCCATGTATGCATGAGGTGAGGGACAGAAGCGGTTCAGGAATAAATGTCTCAGGACAGCACTGAGCCCCGCTCCATCTAGGGAATAGAGAGTCAGGTCCACCTTATCTAGAAATTAAGGGGCTGGGAGACCCTCACTGCTGAAATCCACTGACAATCCAACCTACAGCCTATATATAAAAACATGTTCTACATAAAATCTGAAAACTAGAGTAAGTTGAGAATTTTTTTAATTTCACAGGAAAATTTAATGAAAAACAGTTTAAAGTAAGATTCAGGGAAATCATGAAAGCTGGGATGAGAATGGCTACTTTGGTAGACTCTCTCTCTCTGGTCTAGAAGCAACACCCATCCTGCCTCCTCCAATCTCAATACTTCGTAAATTGCCCTGGAGAGGCTGAATATTAGGCTAATTTGGTCTAATTTGAATTGCTTAAATGACTAGCTATCTTTTACTGCCACCTCCTGGCCCCTTCTAGTATGTCTACCCTAAACTATTACGCTAAGACTGATAAACCCTCATATGCACACACAAAATACCAATTACATTCAAGAATCTCTTAATTGCTGGGTGCAGTGGCTCACGTCTGTAATCCCAACACTTTGGGAAACTGAGGTGTGCAGATCACCTGAGGTCAGGAGTTCAAGACCAGCCTGGCCAACATAGTGAAACCCCGTCTCTACTAAAAATACAAAAATTAGCCAGGCATGGTGGCAGGCGCCTGCAGTCCCAGCTACTCAGGCAGCTGAGCCAGGAGAATCACTTGAACCAGGAAGGCAGAGGTTGCAGTGAGTACTGAGATCGAGCTACCGCATTACAGGCTGAGTGACAGAACGAGACTTCATCTCAAAAAAAAAAAAAAAAGAACCTCTAACCAAATAAACTGTCAAATTAAACTATCACCACATTGCAGATGGAAAGTTATGCTACCGAGTGGGAGTCCCTGATCGAGGCAGCTGGTCATCCAGCCACATCCCCTTCAAGGTGGCTGTACACTGACAGTCACCTCAGCCAGGGTCTGGGTCCTCCGCTTTGTGGGTCAGGAGCCTCATCTGTCAGCACCCTGAGACAGATCTGTGTCTAGGGGTAGACACACATTAACCCAGCTCATAGAGACAGATCTATATTACCAGAATGTGGGGCCTCGTATCTTCTCTAAGTCAGCCACATAAGAAGTCAAATTATGCACTCAGAGAGCTTGGTGAGAAAGAAATCAGGGCCAGGACACTGGCCCTGGTTCAAGAACCTGGATCTTCAGTGACTTCAAGCTCTGAAAGCTGGAGGCACCTGTCTCCTCCACAGGGATATTCTGCCACCTGACATGACAAAGCAAATTGCTGAACCAGGACATCTTTCCTCAGCCAATGCTTGACTGGGAATTGTCAGGATTTGCCTTTTGGATGTTTCCTTGTCTAATTCTGACTAAACCAACTCCCTTTCTGATCGGCAAAATCTTTCCAAGGGTATGATTAAAGCCTCCAATTAAATTATCCTCAATCAAGTGCGCACCAAAATACATGTTTCTAATCCATCGTGCACTGATATAAAAGTCTTCTCTCTGTAGTGGGCTGTATTTTCCCTTTTTCCAAGCTTTGGAAGCACCCTATGGTAGTCTCCTGTAATTACTTGTAATAAACCAGTAGAGATAATGTCCATTTGTTGAAAAGCTTACAGACAGCTTGCACATCTACTGTCACAGCTATTCCTCTCAACCACCATATGAGGTTCTCTGTGTAAGTACTATGATTCTTATTTTACAGATAAGTACACTGAGATTCAGAGATGATAAGTGGTTTTCCCAACGTCACAGAATTAGTGGATATGGGGTTAAGACTAAAGCTCAGATCTTCAGACCCCAAATGAGTCTATTGAGGATACTTGCTTTTAACAACCTATAAAGGGGTTTAGCCTGACCCGCTGCACTACTCATATATTCAACAAATATTTATGGAGTGTCAATTATTAGCTATCTATTGTTTTAGGCAGTGGGGACACCATGACAAACAAGTTCACTAAGGTTCCTATGTCCATGGAACATAGACTCTGGGATGGAAGGCAGACAAAAGAGGAAAATTTCACATGGCAATGAGTCCTACGCACAGAAAAAAATCTGGTGATGCAGAACGCTGGTTGTCTGTTTCTCTTTGAGTCACCAAGGACAGCTTCTTTGGGGCAATGACATTTAAGCAGAGATGGGAATGACAGGAAGTCATATGATGACGAAAGGCAAGAGCATTCTAAGATGAAGGAACAGCTCATAAAAGCGCCCTGCGGTGGCACCATGCTTGCTCTTTCTGAAGATGAGCAGGAAGCCCACAGTGCAGGAGCACAGAGGCCGGGGCAAGGGTGGGAGGAGATGAGTCACGGTGGCAGGTGCCGGACCACGTGGTGTTTTGTTAAGGAGGATCAGACTGGCTTTATTCTAAGCTCAATGAAAAGCCAGCACACAACTGCAGAAACATTCTGCTTTTTAACAAGGTCACATCATTGTAGAGCAAGTTTTACACCCCACAATCCCAAAGTCCTGATCGTCCCATTATTCCTAGCATCCAGTGATTGGTATCTTGGTTAATATGGTATTTTTTCCATAAACAGGAAGAACATATTTGAAAGGCTTCAAACAATAATCTTTCAAGAAGAAAAGTTTCTGCTATCTAAAAACTCATATATATAAGCGGTAGGTTCATAACCTCAATACTCAGGCAATCTGACCTCCAAGAAGCCCTGTAAGGCTCCCGTGAGGCCCCAGTTGTCTTTTGGGAAAGCTCAGTTCCAAAAGGCTGGGGACGAGGCCAGAGTTCCACACCCTCGCCCACCCGACAAGAGAATCTCCCACAGGCTCCGCCCTTTGCGCTCTTCCCACAGTTGGCTGCTTAGATGGCCCCTGACTGCAGCTTGCTCCATATTCAAAGATAGAGCCTGGGGGAGGGATAGCATTAGGAGATATATCTAATGTTAAATGATGAGTTAATGGATGCAGCACACCAACATGGCACATGAATACATATGTAACTAACCTGCACGTTGTGCACATGTACCCTAAAACTTACAGAATTAAAAAAAAAAAAGAGCCTGTAACTGTCCAAGAGCAAAGGAATGTTCACAAGCACCCTAAGAGGATAGCAGGGAAGGAGAATCCAGAAAATAGAGAAGGGTGGGGCAGGTGGCAGGAGATGTCTAGCCTTCTAAATAGAAATCAATTGCATTAACAAAAAATCAGTCCACCACCAACCACCTCTCTCAAACACTGCTGATGTCAACAAAGAAAAATGACACTACCTTCCCTCAAGTCTGGTTTGGCAATGAGTTGCAAAAGCCTTTGACCTAGGAAATTACCCTGAGGAAATCATCCCAGGTGAATTTTAAAAGGGTTATGTAAATATGTTCACTAAAGCCTTATTTATAATGAGGCAAAATTTTAAATAATCAACAACAGAGAATTGGTTAACTAAATTACAGTAAAGCCATAGAAAGGAATACCTTAAAACTAGTAAAAAATATACTCTAAAAGAATGAAATTTAAAAGATTATTTCACCACATGAGGAAAAGTTCATAATACGGTAAGCTTTCAAAGTAGGTTGAAAGCTCTGAAGCCAAGGTGACCTTTTAAAAGGAAAAAAAGAAAATAGTCTGTAAAGAACATAGGGCTTGCAAATCCTTGTAGATTATCTGGACAAAATGCAGAAGGCAAATAGTAAAGGCAGAGGGGGCTAGGGAGAGATACTAGCACAATTCTATTTTATATTCTCCGCACTATTATGCTCACTAGTCAACAAGTGACCACTGTTTGAAACTCGTTTGTGTGTTGGTTGGGCACAGTAGCTCATGCCTGTAATCCCAGCACTTTGGGAGGCCGAGTCAGGCAGATCACACAGTCAGGAGTTCAAGACCAGCCTGACCAACATGGTGAAACCCCGTCTCTACTAAAAATACAAAAATTAGCTGGGTGTGATGGTGCATACCTGTAATCCCATCTACTCAGGAGGCTAAGGCAGGAGAATCGCTTGAACCCAGGAGACGGAGGTTGCAGTGAGCCGAGATCGTGCCACTGCACTCCAGCCTGGGCAACAGAGTGAGACTCTGTCTCAGGAGAAAGAAAAACAAAAAAACCTCATTTGTGTGTTATATATCGGCTGGGCATGGTGGTTCACGTCTGTAAACTCAGCACTTTGGGAGGCTGAGGTGGAAGGATTGCTCAAATCCAGGAGTTTGAGGCCAGCCTGGGCAAAATAGTGACACCCAGTCTCTATTTAAAAATGTGTGTGTGTGCAGAAATACAAACTACCATCAGAGAATACTACAAACACCTCTACGCAATTAAACTAGAAAATCTAGAAGAAATGGATAAATTCCTGGACACATACACTCTCCCAAGACTAAACCAGGAAGAAGTTGAATCTCTGAATAGACCAATAACAGGAGCTGAAATTGTGGCAATAATCAATAGCTTACCAACCAAAAAGAGTCCAGGACCAGATGGCTTCACAGCCGAATTCTACCAGAGGTACAAGGAGGAACTGGTACCATTCCTTCTGAAACTATTCCAATCAATAGAAAAAGAGGGAATCCTCCTTAACTCATTTTATGAGGCCAGCATCATTCTGATACCAAAGCGAGGCAGAGACACAACAAAAAAAGAGAATTTTAGACCAATATCCTTGATGAACATTGATGCAAAAATCCTCAATAAAATACTGGCAAAACGAATCCAGCAGCACATCAAAAAGCTTATCCACCATGATCAAGTGGGCTTCATCCCTGGGATGCAAGGCTGGTTCAATATACGCAAATCAATAAATGTAATCCAGCATATAAACAGAGCCAAAGACAAAAACCACATGATTATCTCAATAGATGCAGAAAAAGCCTTTGACAAAATTCAACAACCCTTCATGCTAAAAACTCTCAATAAATTAGGTATTGATGGGACGTATTTCAAAATAATAAGAGCTATCTATGACAAACCCACAGCCAATATCATACTGAATGGGCAAAAACTGGAAGCATTCCCTTTGAAAACTGGCACAAGACAGGGATGCCCTCTCTCACCACTCCTATTCAACATAGTGTTGGAAGTTCTGGCCAGGGCAATTAGGCAGGAGAAGGAAATAAAGGGTATTCAATTAGGAAAAGAGGAAGTCAAATTGTCCCTGTTTGCAGACGACATGATTGTATATCTAGAAAACCCCACTGTCTCAGCCCAAAATCTCCTTAAGCTGATAAGCAACTTCAGCAAAGTCTCAGGATACAAAATCAATGTACAAAAATCACAAGCGTTCTTATACACCAACAACAGACAAACAGAGAGCCAAATCATGAGTGAACTCCCATTCACAATTGCTTCAAAGAGAATAAAATACCTAGGAATCCAACTTACAAGGGATGTGAAGGACCTCTTCAAGGAGAACTACAAACCACTGCTCAAGGAAATAAAAGAGGATACAAACAAATGGAAGAACATTCCATGCTCATGGGTAGGAAGAATCCATATCATGAAAATGGCCATACTGCCCAAGGTAATTTACAGATTCAATGCCATCCCCATCAAGCTACCAATGACTTTCCTCACAGAATTGGAAAAAACTACTTTAAAGTTCATAAGGAACCAAAAAAGAGCCCGCATCGCCAAGTCAATCCTAAGCCAAAAGAACAAAGCTGGAGGCATCACACTACCTGACCTCAAACTATACTACAAGGCTACAGTAACCAAAACAGCATGGTACTGGTACCAAAACAGAGATATAGATCAATGGAACAGAACAGAGCCCTCAGAAATAACGCCACATATCTACAACTATCTGATCTTTGACAAACCTGAGAAAAACAAGCAATGGGGAAAGGATTCCCTGTTTAATAAATGGTGCTGGGAAAACTGGCTAGCCATATGTAGGAAGCTGAAACTGGATCCCTTCCTTATACAAAAATCAATTCAAGATGGATTAAAGACTTAAATGTTAGACCTAAAACCATAAAAACCCTAGAAGAAAACCTAGGCATTACCATTCAGGACATAGGCATGGGCAAGGACTTCATGTCTAAAACACCAAAAGCAATGGCAACAAAAGCCAAAATTGACAAATGGGATCTAATTAAACTAAACAGCTTCTGCACAGCAAAAGAAACTACCATCAGAGTGAACAGGCAGCCTACAAAATGGGAGAAAATTTTCGCAACCTACTCATCTGACAAAGGGCTAATATCCAGAATCTACAATGAACTCAAACAAATTTACAAGAAAGAAACAAACAACCCCATCAAAAAGTGGGCAAAGGACATGAACAGACATTTCTCAAAAGAAGACATCTATGCAGCCGAAAAACACATGAAAAAATGCTCATCATCACTGGCCATCAGAGAAATGCAAATCAAAACCACAATGAGATACCATCTCACACCAGTTAGAATGGCAATCATTAAAAAGTCAGGAAACAACAGCTGCTGGACAGGATGTGGAGAAATAGGAACACTTTTACACTGTTGGTGGGACTGTAAACTAGTTCAACCATTGTGGAAGTCAGTGTGGCGATTCCTCAGGGATCTAGAACTGGAAATACCATTTGACCCAGCCATCCCATTACTGGGTATATACCCAAAGGACTATAAATCATGCTGCTATAAAGACACATGCACACGTATGTTTACTGCGGCATTATTCACAATAGCAAAGACTTGGAACCAACCCAAATGTCCAACAATGATAGACTGGATTAAGAAAATGTGGCACATATACACCATGGAATACTATGCAGCCATAAAAAATGATGAGTTCATGTCCTTTGTAGGGACATGGATGAAATTGGAAATCATCATTCTCAGTAAACTATCGCAAGAACAAAAAACCAAACACTGCATATTCTCACTCGTAGGTGGGAACTGAACAATGAGATCACATGGACACAGGAAGGGGAATATCACACTCTGGGGACTGTTGTGGGGTGGGGGGAGGGGGGAGGGATAGCACCGGGAGATATACCTAATGCTAGATGACAAGTTAGTGGGTTCAGCACACCAGCATGGCACATGTATACATATGTAACTAACCTGCACAATGTGCACATGTACCCTAAAACTTAAAGTATAATAAAAAAAAAGTGTGTGTGTGTGTATATATGTGTGTGTACATATATATACATATACACATGTTTACGTGTATATCTGTTTATATATATATTTATTGTGTGTTAAAATGTCTAGCAGATTATTTGTTGCTCTTAATTACAAATTGGAGAAGATGTCAATGAACAAATACTTTTTCCAACTACCAATCATTTCCACTTTCATGGTGACGAAAATATATTACTATTATCACTATACTATTAAAAAGAACAATTTGAACTAATATCTTTGGTGAGCCATAGGGCTATCCTTGTCAAAATCTAAAGACAAGCTTGACTTTCACTGACATTAAAATGCAAATAATTTGAAAAATTATCATATTTGTAGAATAACCACCAAAAAACTCACTTAGGTAACTACTTGACAGCCAGAGGGTGCAGAGAAAGATTGATTGGAAAAGCGAGCAAGGTCTCTTTTGGCAAAGACACTTGACATTCAGACCAGCACCTCTATAAAAAAAATTACTGAGTTTTCTGTCCCTCTGGGCCCAGCAGGCTTCAGATTTCCTATGTAACTCCCATGAGGCCTCATTTGCAACTCAGATTCTCAAGCCATTCAACAAGCTGCTGCTGTCTAAAATCAACATGGGCATTTGTGAAACTTGACCACAGTCCCTCTCCTGTTCCTCATTCCTTACCCTCCATCCACATCACACAGTCCCTGCAGGTTCCTCTGCACTTTGAATAGGCCCTGTCCACTGGACAAGCACACTCTAGTGGCAGTGACATTAGTGGCAGCACGCAGTGGCTAGTTCAAGTTACACTAGGAGGGGGTGGCATCCTCACAAACTGTGGCATATTGTGGGGTTTGAGTCCTGGCTGCATAGCCTGGATTCAGTCCTCTGAGTTCAGAGCCCTGTGATTCTATGAGCTACTCATTTTCCTTTTAATGAATCTTATTTTCTGCATAAATCATCCAAAGTTGGTTTCTCCTACTTCCAAAGAAGAAACTGATAGGTTCAAGAAACTGATACTCAGTACCCGTCAGCATCAGACACTCAGGAAAAACTAGGGAACCTAGATTTGGCTGTCTTGATGCTTTGGAGCTCAAGGCAGTGAAAATCCAGCTACTAATCAACAGTGAGAGTCTGGAAGCTCCAGGTACACAGTGTTGAAATTGTTCATCAAATTACTGTCTGGAGTCACCTGGAAAGAAGCAACCACTGAAGCCAAGACTGGGTGACCGAGTAGACAATTCCACAAAACACTATTATGGGGAATACTAGGATGCACTGCCCAGATTTCCTTAGGCAATGAAGGACTCACTGTCCCAGCTGATGGGAAGTGACCAGCAGAAACTCTCAGCTGGGGATTACCTCCACTGGGGATTGCGTCCACTCAGGAAAGCTACCTCACCCAAGCCTTTCTGGGGTGGGCTACATCCAAGGACTGATTGCCATGGGGGTAGAAAGGCTTAGCCTCCTCACTCTGCTTGGGACCACTCCAAAGAATTACCCAACCTGCAGAACTCCCTACAGAATCGACTGGAGCTTCCATGAAGACTGCGTCACAGTTGGCTCCTCCCTCTGTCAGGCCCTCCTTCCACCCCTTTCCTCCTACAGGAATTAATCTCAAGAGAACACCCTAATAAACACCTACAAACTAGCCTCCCTGGGGAACCCAACTTACAACTACTAAGGGCATGATGTCTTTAATTCCAAGAAATATGGTGTAGGCTGCCAAGCAGAGCGTAAAGAATGAGAGTAAGAGGAGAATGACAGGCTCCAATTCCTAAATTCTCAGCTTAGGGTATGGACTGAAACCCAGGGACCTTCTTGGCCTCTGCTAAAAACCATCTCTTATCTCTTCTAGTCAGCGGGCTCAATAAACAAAAAACCCCAGAAGTTTTATCCTTAGCTTTATTAAATTACAATGTCAGCTGAATTCTCACCCTTGCAAGGTATCTATAGACTGGGCTACCAATCTACAAAGAGTGAAACTCCTAAAAACTAAAACAGAGATTTAAGGTGATTAAGAAAAGCCCAAGTCCCCAAACCTCAGGGAACATCACTTGTCAGCAGCGACAGCCCCTTTCTCCCTGTGTAAGGCTTTCAGATGAGGCTGATCTGGCCTTACCTGAAGACCCTTTTAATGAAGTCTCATGAAGGAATTACTTTGCAAGAGAAGCAGATTTTCTTCATCTCTCCTGCTCATCACGCCTCACTGTCTAGAAATGAGCCCCAGCATGCCCCAAGGGGCCTATTACAAGGCTTTCACTCCAAAAGAACCACAAGGTTTTTCTACTTTACATTAGCAAAACTCTGACCTATATATGTGGGATTCTAAGGAATCTAGATGGAGGGAAGAAGACTAAATAGATGGGGTGGAATGATCAATATGAGCACACTTACCAGCAAGTCAGGATTCCACATGCCAGCTGCAGCAGCTGGGAGTGGAGCTGACTGTATGAGTTTGGAAACCCAGACACCACAGCTGCCCATATGTATGGGGCTGAGATGCCAGAAATTCTTTGGGAAGTCAAGAGAGGAAGTAATAAAATGATTTCAGGAGATAAGAATGTCTGAGTGGATTTATCATGTGTGACCTGCTAGCCCACTCCCTAATTATGCCCCCAAGAGAGCTCAGAAGACACTCCCTTCACTGAGAATTTGAGAAATAAATACATTAGTGAGGGGAGCACAAGCGTCTCAGAAATGTGTTGCCAAGGCCATTCTCTGTGGGCTGAGGATGCTGTTAAGAGACAACGAAATTCTTTATTTCAATGCGGACACCAAACCCCTTAAGTAATAGACTAAATAATGCCACTTAACCCCAAGGTGACGTGTGCATGATGACCACAGTAAGCCACATGGCCTTCCTGGCGGTCAGATGCTCTGATTCACTGGGATGTTTGGAGAAGGGCAACTGATCATGAGGTCCATAGACCTTAGACAGACAGATACTCAAGTTGAACCTCTCTGTGTCTCCATTTCCTCACTGTAAAATAGCGATACGATTCTATCTGCTCATAGGGCTGCTGTGAGAATTACATAGGCTAATATAAAGCTCTTAAAGCAGTGTTTGGCACAGATTAAGTGCTCAATATATGCTAGCTATCATTTCCACTACGGTTATTTTTATTGTCATTATATAACTGGCAAATAATCTAGTTTTAGTGAACAAGGCTTAACTTAAGCCACCATGATCATTTACCCAATTTCCAGACCTGAGTCAGTTCACAGACCTAAAGACCCTAAAACAGCCAAATAACCGTAAGAAAAATCATGAACAGAGCATGCCAATAGG
This sequence comes from Homo sapiens, assembly GCF_000001405.40. Lineage (NCBI taxonomy): Eukaryota > Metazoa > Chordata > Mammalia > Primates > Hominidae > Homo > Homo sapiens. Next base: position 210,438,583 of record NC_000001.11, on the reverse strand, counting down.
ACCTACAAAATTAGGAGTGGCAGGTATACCAGATGCCTTAATAAGTATGAGCATATCAGAAATAAACATACATATATATATGTGGGTATATCACTTCAGAGCAGTTTCTGGGAGTTCAAGACACAAGTAAAGGACAAGTTGGTCTACCTTATGCCACTCATCCATAAGAAAGAGGCACAGCTTTGGTAGACCTCTTCGGAATTTGGAGGTGATATGTATGTAACTGTGCAGGCCACTCTAATTCATTCACCAGGTGAGCTATCCCTGACCACAGGACACCAAAGAACCATGTTACCTGAGTGGTCCATTATCAACTAGAGTTATCTGATCCACCTAGCCACAATATCAGGAAGCATTCCATTATCAATGGATACATACACATGTGTATACACACACACACACACACACAAACACGGAGAATCCTGAGGTCACAATTAAGTTGCAGGAAAAGAGAACTCCTCCTCCCAATATGCTGACTCCTGCTATGTGGCTATCCTTCTCTCATCCCACACCTAAGGCCCCAAGAGGACTTGGTAGAGGAGGGGAAACAGCTCTGTTCACTGATGACTGCCCAAGATATGATGGAATCTGCTGGAAATGAACAGCTGCAACCTTATATGTGAGATGGCCCCAAAGGACAGCAAACAAGGAAAAAGCCTCACAGTGGGTGGAATTTCAAGTGGTACATGCCATTGGCCAATTTGTCTGTAAGAATCTAAAACTGATTCATGGGAGTGTCCAATAGTTTCCTGGGATAGTTAGGATTGTGGAAGGAATTCAATTGGATAAATGTTAATAAGGAGACGTTTAAAATCAGGAAAGAGGCATATAAATGAACACCTCAAAATGAGCCCAGGGGAGATATTTGTGACCCATGTAAATACTCAACAAAAGGGCCCGGCAGTCTAAATAACAAGGTAGCATGGCCTGTGCACATCAGCCAGCCTCTTTCCACAGCCGTCCTAATGGGCTCATCACCAAAGTAGCTGCAATGGCAGCAATGAAAGCTTTGCACAGGATCAACAATGTGGACAGCCTCTCACCAAGATTAACCTGGCTACTAGCACAGCTGAGTCCCTAATTTGCCGGTTTTCTATGACCTTCCATATTCTGGTATCAGGCTGATTACACTAGACCTCTTCTGTTTTGGAGGGGCCAGAGAGTCGTCCCTTATTCTCGATGTGAATCTGCTTTCCAAATTCACCAACGTGTCTGCCAGTTTCACCATCCATGGACATACTGACCATCTTAGTCACTGTCATGTTATCAGACATAACATCACTTTTGTCTAATGACCTCACTTTGTAGCAAATGAAGTCAGACGATGGGCTATGGGATTCACTAGTCTTATCCCATCATTCAAAAGCAGTTAGCCTTACAGAATAGTCTATCAAAGGTTCCCATATACATCATCATGTGATGTTGAGATTCTATCCCACGGGATACAGAATGTGCTCTGAGCCAGCAAACTCCATATGGTGCTCTTACCCATAACCTAAATATGTAGAGTCAGTATTCAAAGAGTGGAAGAGGGAGTGGTACCTCACTATTACACCTCTTAACCTACTCCTAAGATATCTTCTTCCCATCCCTGAAACTCTGTGATGTGCTTGGTTAGAGGTCTTACCACACAGCAAAGAAGTGCTTCCACCAGGGGATGAAACAATGATTCTATCAAATCAAAACAACCTACTATCACCCAGCCATTTGGGGTTCCTCATGGAACTAGGAGAACAAGTGAAAGAGGAGTTATAGTACAAGCTGAGAGGCCTAACCCTTACTGCCAAAGGGAAATTGAGTTACTCCTACACAATGGAGGCAGGAGGAATATAAATGAAACTTAGGGGATTTTGTGGGGTATCACCTAGTATTGCCATGTCTACTGGTTAATGGAAGACAACAGCAGGACTTGCAATGGCTTAGACCTGTGAAGAATCAAAATTTGGATCACACCAGAGTTAAGAACCCCAACAGCAGAAGTACTAACCGAAGACAAAAAGAACACAGAATGAAGGGGAGAGTCACAAACCCCCTGATCAGGCACAGAAACTGCTCTATCCCCATCAAAATACCAATGACGGTCTTCACAGAAATAGAAAAAACAATCCCAAAACTCATATGGAACTACAAAAGACCCCGAATAGCCAAAGCAACCCTGAGCAAAAAGAACGAAGTTGAAGGCATCACACTATCTGACTTCAAAATATACTGCAAAGCTACAGAAACCAAATCAATCATGGTACTGGCATTAAAAAAAAAAGACATACAGATCAATGCAATAGGATAGAGAACCCAGATATAAATCCATGCATACACAGTGAACTCATTTTCAGCAAGGGTGCCAAGAACATACAATAGGCAAAGGGCACTCTCTTCAATAAATGGTGCTGGGAAAACTGGATAACCACATGCAGAAGAACCAAATTAGACCTCTATCTCTCACCATATACAAAAATTAATTCAAACCACACTAAAGACTTACATCCAAGACCTGCAACTATGAAACTGCTAGAGGAAAACACTGGGAAAATACTCCAGGACACTGGTCTGGGCAAAGATTCTAGGCAAGGCCTCAAAACCACAGGCAACAAAAGGAAAAATAGATAAATGGATTGTATCAAGCTAAAAAGTTTCTGCACAGCAAAAGAAACAATCAACAAAGTGAAGAGACATCCCACAGAATGGGAGAAAATATTTACAGACTATCTAACAAAAGATTAATAACCAGAATATACAAGGAGCTCAAACAACTCGACAGCAAAAAAAAGAAAGAATCCCATTTAAAAATGGACAAAAGATCTAAAAGACATTTCTCAAAAAATGACATACAAATGGCCAAAAAATATACGAAAAAGTGTTCAACATAACTAATCATTACAGAAATGCAAATCAAAGCCACAATGAGATATCGTCTCACCCCAGTTAGGATGGCTTTTATCAAAAAAATAACAGATGCTGGTGAAGATGTAAAGAAAGGAGAAACCTCATACACTGTTGGTGGGAATGTAAACTACTACAGCCACTATGAAAAACAGTATAAAAACTGCCCCCAAAAAACAAAAATAGAACCACCATATGATCCAGCAATTCCACTACTGGATACACACCCCATGGAAAGGAAATCAACATGTCAAAGCAATATCTGTACTCCCCATGTTTATTGCAGCATTATTCACAATAACCAAAATATGCAATCAACCTAAATGTCCATTAATGAATGGAGTTAAAAAATTGAAATATATAGACAGTGGAATATTATTCAGCCATAAAAAAGAATGAAATTCTGTCATTTATAGAAACATGAATGGAATTGGAGGTCATTATGTTAAGTGAACTAAGCCAAGCACAAAAAGATAAACATTGCATGTTCTCACTCACATGTCAGAGATATAAAAGTGAATCTCATCAAGATAGAGTAGATTGGTGATTTACCAGAGGCTGGGAAGGGAAAGCAGGAGGGGAGGATGAAAAGAGGTTGATTAATGGGTACACATATACACTTAGAAGACAGAAGACCTGCTGTTCAATAGATCAACAGGGTAACTATAGTTAACATTAATTGATTGTATGTTTCAAAACAGCAAGAAAATAATTCAAATGTTCCTAGTATTTAAAAAGGTAAATAAGGTAATGGAGATCTCAATTACTCTGATTATATGAATGTATCAAATTACCACATATACCCCCAAAATATGTACATCATATATCAGTTTTACAAGTTAAAAAGTTTTCTTAATGAAAAACATAAAAATTAGCTCTAAACGATTACCTGTATTTTCTTATTTGCTGTGTAATGCATTTACATGTAAATTTTAGCTAGTATTTCTCTTCATTCCCATCTCTTTCCCCTTCTATTTAATATAAAGGTGTCAATGGTAGCTAACTCTACAACTGAGCCCACAGTTGTAGGATATTAACATTATGGCCAAATTCCAGGAGATGTGGACACTCCCTTGAGCCCACTGAGAGCCTGGACTTGAATAGTTACTTGGGGAAAGAGATGTGTGTATTTTCAGCTGTATAAGAGATAGTGTGTGTCTTCCTGAAGGTGTCCAGTCTGTGGTATACCCCTTGAGGACTATATCTAATAACATTTCCTTGCTTAAACTTAAACCTTGTTTGAACTCGGCCGACATGGAAAGGAGCTGCTCAGTACCCTCTTCCTGAACATTCCTGCATATTAAGAGAATTCAGCCTCCCACTGGCCTTCAGAAAGCTATAATCACTATCACATTTCCCACTAGTTTCTGATTGCTTTTAGTTACTGAAAGCAGAAACATTTAAAATTTCCCCCAAACTATGTCCATTTTCTCACGTCTGATTATTATTCAACCCTGGTCTATATTCCCCCGAATGAACAGTGGCAACCATGACCAAAGTCAATCACGACTCATTTGCCAAAACTGAAACAGACTTTCTTCATTCCCCTCTTATTGGCCTCTCTTCAACTTCTGATAAATTGTGTACCTTCTTCTTTTTTAAACCTTCACAAGACACTTGTTTACTTCCTCATTAATTAATATTCCTTCTGATTCATTGATAGCCCTCTTTTTCTATCTACCTGTCAAATATCAGTGTTCTCTAAAGTTCTATCCTTCCAGTAAGATATGTCTAATGCAGGTGCTGGGCCAGCCACAGTGGGGGCAGAGGTAACCCCATGTAGACTGGTACAACGCTGGTGTGGACAACATCCACAGCCCAATGCCCTGCCCAGGCAGTGCTCAGGAAGATCTTCCTGGAGCCTGGCCTCCACCTGAGAGCCTGATTACAGCAGCTCTAACTCTCACTAGAAATTGAAGGAGAAGGTTAAAATTAATAATCATCATCAACATCACCCTGAAAAGAGAGAAAAATAAATGGGAAGAAAATTTTAGTTTGATATCTCCAGGAGAGGATTAAGGGAAATGAAAGAAAAACAAATGTCACCCTGTTGCCATGGAGCTCCCAATGTCCTCTCAATCCCAGGGAGTAGCAACGGAGCCCTGACAGACAAGCAGCCACCACTGTTTTTTTTCCACCCCCACCAGGAGAGGATTAAACACCTTCCATGGAGTATGTGAATATTTCTCTCCTTTGATTAACCACATCAAATCAATCCCACGAGAAACAACCTCTATTTATATTCTCTATTTCTGTTAACTTGCAGCGATCCCTTTTTGGAGCAATAATGTACGACGCATGATTTCCCTTTGCTGCCTTATGCAAAATCTTGTATCAATCACTCATCTGGATATCTGGCTGCTCACACTAACACCAATCTGATGTCAACTGCCAGGCAGAGTCCCTGTGAAATTTTACTTCACCTGAACCTGCAAGTGAAGTACTCATTAAGCACCTGCGCTGTGAGTGCTGCAGGAGAAAGACCCCAGAGGCAGTGGTATAGGCGCATCTCTAAAGCAGCTCTCACTCAGCTTGGGGTGTTCAGAGGGGGTCATTCCTGGACAGGGTAGAATGTTACCCAGTCCTGAGATTTAGAGATGAAGGATCTGTTGTATATCTTCTTCCATGTAAGACAAAGAGACATCTTTTACTGTCTGTGCTGCTGTCTCACACTTAACCGCAACTTTTGGATGGAAAAAAGGGCCTTAGTGGAATGAGAGCCCTGCCATCGAGAGGTTAAAAGTGACAGAATAAAAAAATTACAGTATCTCTGTATTAGTTCAGAAGGAAATCAGAGGCTGCCACCAGGGCCCAAAGCTCACATGCCTTCTGCAAACCTTATAACCCCCTTATGCTTATTTTATCTTTCTGAAACATCTCAAGAAGGATTAGCACCAAAACCTTGAAGCTGAAGGTGCCCATGTGCTGGAAAGAAAGGGGATGTTTGCCATGCTATACTCCACATCATGGCAGCCTGGAGAGACGGAGACCCTGAGGAGCAGCCTGGAAATGGCAGGTCCACCAGAAGGTAAAAAGATGCAGTCAGGACCCACTGGGCTATGTGATAGCAAGGCCATCTAAGACTACGTGGCAGTTAAGTCATCATTTAACACAACTAAAGCAGCATATTAGCTTCTGCCTCTATTTTTTCACCTTTGATTTATTCTGTAGCCCTGGTCTTTAGTCCCCCAAAATGAACAACGTCAACCATGACCAAAGTCAATTATGACCTCCCATTTGCCAAAATGAAAGACTCTCTTAAATCCCCTCTTACGCAGCCTCTTTTCAACCTCTGATAAATTGAGCTTTCTTCTTGCAACCTTCACAAAACCACTGGCTTCCTCCTTTGTTTATTAACATTCCTTCTCATTCGTTACTGACTCCTTTTCCGGCTCACCTCTTAAATTTTAACATTCTCTAAAGTTCTATACTTGGCCCTCCTTTATTCTCATTCTACACATTTTTCAAGGAAGTCCTTTTACTCCTGTGGCCTCAGTTATCACATGTGTGCAACAGTTCCCACGTACCTGTCTCCATTGCCAATCTCACTCCTGAGCTCCAGTCGCATCCCTGGGAAATTGGTTCCCAGAACCCCTACAGATACCAAAATCCATGGATGCTCACTTTTCAGGGACACTTTTGAGAATGAAAGAAACTATTAATAATGATATCAGGAAAACAGATATAGAATAGGACTGCAAAATGGGATATTTGGTCACTCTACAAATCATAAGCCTCAAATTAATTGTTTTAAGAGTCGAATAAAACAATTATAACATTTAAATCTTCTATTTTCTTGGCTGCCTATTATACTACTTTTCAAATTTTCCAATTTGAAACACTACACTGCTACTTTGTATTCAGAAGTAGTTGCTCTAATACAAAGTACTGGCTGCCTCCCAAACAACTCTCTTCCCCCAGTCCTTGCCATTGGAAAGGGAATTTCATTCCCGTGTCCAACCTCTTCCCCATAGTAACCTGGAAGAAATTCCTGGTTACAACTAATCATGGGATGATTATAATATGGCCATATGACCCAGATGATGCAGTTATGGCCACAAGGTACATAAAGGGGGAAGCTGCTGGAGATGCTTCTTGTGAGATTTCTTCCTTCTTAAAAACAGGTATAGTGGAATTTCCATTTCTGGCAATATAACAGACTGTCCCATCTTGAAAATCATGCCAATGGAGAACACCTAAGAAATGCTAAATGAAATATGTGAAAGCATCTTTTTCAAATATATACTTGAGCTGTTTGGAAAAGTCCTTGGAGACCAAAAATATATATATAAAGCAAGAGCAGAAAAATGGGCGAGCGGTCGTGCATGTCTTTACCCTGGTAGAACCTGCCAGGCTGCAAAGACCTAGGCTTTGCTTTTCACAAGCCACATGTGGGGACAGGTGGCAGTCCTGGGAGCCCATACACATAGGAGGTTAGAGTGACAGCCCACATAAATCCAGATTTCCAAAGCCCAAAATTCCCATTGCCTGTGTGTCCCCTCAAAACCCCAAGCCAGAAATTTAAGCAGCACCACGTTGGTAACAACTCCAAGCACCTGGCAGAAATAAACCTAAATATTCTCTGGATGAATGTATTCCAAACACAGACACCAAAGAATTCCCAAGGACAAAGCAGCAATTAACATGGGCTCACAATCAAACATCCCAAAATATGGGTGAGAACTGACAGAAGTAAAATGGATAATCAGACTAACAAAGATTGCAGATGTAGAATTACCAGCTATAGAATGTAAGATAAATATGTTTATCATGTTTGAAAACATAAGTAAACTTGAAAGAATATGCAAGGAAAAGAAACTATAAGACCTCACAGATACAAAAGCATCAAAGAGAACTTGTAAATATAAAAAATAGGACTGATAAATCAAAAAGACAAAAAGCAAATTCAAAATTAGAAGAATTTAACCAAATATCAAATCAGTAATATGAACACACATTAAAAAGCATTATTTCAAATGGCTTTTGAATACAGAGCACTCAGTATACCTCCACCCTAAGAGAAAAAAGAACTGAAATGATTCTTAACTGTCATTCAGTGATTTTTTGTCAAAATGTTGAGCATTATAATTTTGAAACTACTCATAGTGTCACCACAAATAATACGCTCATGTAATTAGAAACTATGATCTTCATTAATGTAGAGAAAAGGCACAAGTATAAAATCAAAGTTGCTAAGAAAAAACATAGTAATGTTAAATCTGAATTTAAAATCTCAGTATGAACTCACATTTTATAAAACTCATGTTTTTATAAAACCATATTCCCCAGGTCTACTCACTGGAAATGTTCAGGCCTCCGAACAATAACAACCCTGTAGTAATGGACAGACTCGGATCTTGGCTCCTAAATATAATTCCCCCACTAAAAGGAATCAAGGCTGCTTTGAAGATTTGGCTGATTCCAATACAGGGCTAAGGAAAATATAAGGTAAGCACTGGGATATCTTTCAGTTCCAGAAACTAAGGAAACAGAGGCAAATAAAGGCTCATCAAGAGAACACAGAAGCTAGCTTGACCAAATTTGGGACAATTTTAGCATCCAAAAGGAAAATTACTACATTGAATTGTAAAATATAAAATTATTTGACACTACTATTGAAGGAAAATATTTCACTGAACTCCTTATTCTATAAAATGATGTTTAAAGAGGAACGATTACACATTTGCCCTGGCTTTTTATGATAAACTGTATTCAGCTCCAGTTTATGATGGAAAAGTCTTCTTTACAGAAGAATGCCACCTATCAAATGCAAGCATAATGATAGATTTGGAAAATCAGCATTTCAAACTCCCACTCAAAAAACTGATTCAAGCAAGTTTCACCAAAAAATGCTAAAACTATTCACTATTTTCCAGGTTATTGGGGAAGAAGATATTCAGATAGCACTGAATTAACACCTCACATGTTGCTTGCTAATTGCAAAGGGATAAATGTACCTTTACAAGGGAGAGATCTGGCACCACCACCATACGCAAGTGATTTGACTTAGCAATGCAAACAGGGGGGACCACCTGACATTATACGCATCCCACAGATACAATATGAAGCATACGGCATTCTATATGAAGTTATTTTTGCAAAAAAAAAAATTGTTTTATTAAATCAGGACTCTAGAGGATCTAGATCTAACTTTCAGTTTACAGAAACAGATGGGATAGAAGAACAAATTTAAGAATAACGCAATTTTAAAAAGTCAAATCCAGTGTGTGGGACATTCTATAAGACAATAAGTCTGGACTCCTCAAAAAGTCATATCATTTTAAAACATGGTTGAACTATTCTAGATCGAAGTAGACTAATAGACATGAAACCAAATGACGCATTTGGCTGATTCTGGGTTGACAAAATAGCTTTAAAATATATTTGGAGACAACTAGGAAAATGTGAAGACAGACTAGATATTAGATATTAGAAAAGTACTATTATCAAGTGTGATATGTAATTGTAGTTAGGTAGGAGAATGTTACTCGGGGGCAAAAATTAACAACTGTTGGATCTACATGGTAGATCCATTGTGTTTGTTATATAATTCCTTCAAACATTCTAGATATTTAAAATTTCTCATAAGAATTGGGGAAAAGTTTAAGTATCATCTTATGACTTCATAGGTGATATGATAGGTATTGTAGCTAAAAATAATTAACCTCTTTAATCTATGAAGCTTTGTCTTTTGCCGGAGCGAGGTGGGTGCGGAGGGGAAGCGAGGGACAGAGTCTCACTCTGTTGCCCAGGCTGCTAGAGTGCAGTGGTGCGATCATAGCTCACCACAGCCTTGACCTCCTGGGCTCAAGTGATTCACCCATCTCAGCCTCCTGAGTAGCTGGCACTACTGGCACGCACTACCACCCTGGCTAATTTTTGTATTTTCTGTAGAGATGGGGTTTTGCCATCTTGCCCAGGCTGGTCTCAAACTCCTGGACTCAAGCCATCCACTCGCCTTAGCCTTCCAAAGTGCTGGGATTATAGGCATGAGCCACCACACCTGGCCCACGAAGGTTTTTGATTTAACTTTTAGTTTATAAGAAACAGAAGGGATAAAGGAATATGCTAAATGACATTATAAGAAGCCAGGTGATAGAACGTTCTGTAAGACAACTGGCCTGGTCCCTTCAACAAGCTGGTGTCATAAAAAAGGATGGTGCTAAATAAGACAGTCTTAAGGAACAAAACAACTAGATCCAATGTGTAGTCCTAGATTGGATACCAGCTTGGCCAAAGCAGATATAAAGGACCTTAGTAAAATATGATTACTGTCTGGGTATCAAACAAGAACGAAAATTTAGTAATGTGAAAGGATAGAGATCATTTAACTAAAATGAATCTTAGACTACAAAATTATATATATATATATATATATATATATATATATATATATATATATATATATATATATATAGTATAAGCTCATTTGGGGGAAAACATAAATGTGTGTATAAAGAACTATAGGAAAAAAATGATGTGGAAGGACAAGTATTGAGAGTTTATCAGTACTGATCTCTGGATAGACAATACAATGCTTCCATTGTAAAACTGTGGATGGACGGAAATGCAAAACAGAAAAAATCAGGGATTGTAATCCTAATTTCTGACAAAACAGACTTTAAACCAACGAAGTTCAAAAAAGACAATGAAGGGCATTACATTATGGTAAAGGATTCAACTCAGCAAGAAAATCTAACTGTCCTAAATATATATGCACCCAACACAGGAGCACCCAGATTCATAAAACAAGTTCTTAGAGACTTTCAGAGAGACTTAGACTCCCCCACAATAAGGGGAGACTTTAACACACCACCGACAATATTAGACAGATCATCTAGACAGAAAATTAAAGACATTTAGGACCTGAACTCAGCACTACATCAAATGGACCTGATAGATGTCTGCAGAACTTTCCGCCCAAAAACAACAGAATATACATTCTTCTCATCATCACATGGCACATACTCTAAAATTGATCACATAATCAGAAAACACTCCTCAGCAAATGCAAAAGAACTGAAATCATAACATAGTCTCTTGGACCACAGCACTATCAAATTACTAATCAAGGCTAAGAAATTCACTCAAAACCATATAATTACATGGAAATTGAATGACCTGCTCCTGAATGACTTTTGGGTAAATGATGAAATTAAGGCAAAAATTAGCAAGTTCTTTCAAACTAACCAGAATAAAAATACAACATACCACAGTCTCTGGGACACGGCTAAGGCAATGTTAAGAGGGAAAGTTATAGCACTAAACACCTACAACAAAAAGTTAGAAAGATCTCAAGTTAATAACCTAACATCAAAAGTAAAAGAACTAGAGAACCAAGAACAAACCAATCCCAAAGCTAGCAGAAGACAAGAAATAAACAAAATCAGAGCTGAACTGAAAGGATTAGAGACTTGAAATGTCAGTGAATCCAGGAATTGGTTTAAAAAAAAATTAATAAAATAGACCACTAACTAGACTAATAAAGAGAGAAGATTCAAATGAACACAATAAGAAACAAGGGGGATATTACCACTGACCCCACAGAATTACAAACAACCATCAGAGAATATTATTAATATGTCAAACTAGAAAATCTAGAAGAAAGTTATCATTTCCAGGACACATACACCCTCCGAAGACTGAACCAGGAAAAGAACTGAATTCCTGAACAGACCAATAAGAAGCTCTGAAATTGAGGCAGTAATAAATAACTTACCAACCAAAAAAAGCCCAGGACCAGATGGATTCACAGCTGAATTCTACCAGATGTACAAAAAAGAGCTGGCACCATTCCTACTGAAACTATTCCAAAAAACTGAGAAGGAGAGATTCCTACCTAATTCATTCTATGAGGCCAGCATCATCCTGATGCCAAAACCTGGCAGAGACACAACAAAAGAAAACTTCAGGCCAATATCCTTGTGCACATCAATGCAAAAATACTCAACAAAATACTGGCAAACTGAATCCACCACCACACTAAAAAGCTTATCCACCACAATCAAGTAGGCTTTATCCCTGGGATGCAAGGTTGACTCAACATATGCAAATCAATAAATGTAATTCATTACAAAAACAGAACTAAAGACAAAAACCACATGATTATCTCAATAGATGCAGAAAAAGCTTTCAATAAAATACAGCATCCATTCATGGTTAAACACTCTCAATAAACTAGATATTAAAGGAACATACCTCAAAATAATAAAAGCCATCTATGACAAACCCACAGCCAACATCATACTGAATAGGCGAATGCTGGAAGCATTCCTCTTGAAAACTGGTACAAGATAAGGATGCCCTCTCTTACCACTCCTATTCAACATAGTATTGGAAGTTCTGGCTGGGGCAATCAGGCAAGAGAAAGAAATAAAGTGTATCCAAATAGGAAGAGAAGAAGTAAAACTACCCGTTTATAGGTAACATTATCGATGTTGAGAAAATGCCATCGTCTCAGCCCAAAAGCTTCATAAGCTGATAAACAACTTCAGCAAAGTCTCAGGATACAAAATCAATGTGCAAAAATCACTAGCATACCTATATGCCAACAGCAGTCAAGCTGAGAGCCAAATCAGCAACAAATTACCATTCACAACTGCCACAAAAGGAATAAAATACCTAGCAATGCAGCTAACTAGGGAAGTGAAAGATAGCTACAAGTATAACTACAACCCACTGCTCAAAGAAACCAGAGATGATACAAAACAAATGGAAGAACATTCCATGCTCATGGATGGGAAGAATCAATATTGTGAAAATGGCCATACTGCTCAAAGCAATTTATAGGTTCAATGCTATTCCTATCAAACTACCATTGACATTCTTCACAGAACTAGAAAAAAATTATTTTAAAATTCATATGGAACCAAAGAAGAGCCCATATATCCAAGGCAATCCTAAGCAAAAAGAACAAAGCTGGAGGCATCATGCTACCCAACTTCAAATAACACTAAAGGGCTATAGTAACCAAAACAGCATGATACTGATACAGAAACCGACACATAGACTGACAAAACAGAATAGAGAACCCAGAAATAAGGCCACACATGTACAACTATATGAACTTCAACACACCTGGCAAAAACAAGCAATGGGGAAATAATTCCCTCCTCAATAAATGGTGCTGGGTAACCGGCTAGCCACATGCAGAAGACTAAAACTGGACCCCTTCTTTATAGCACATACAAAAATTAACCCAAGATCGATTAAAGACATAAATGTAAAACCCAAAACTATAAAAATCCTGGAAGACAATCTAGGCAATACCATTTGGGACACAGGCATGGACAAAGACTTCATGACGAAGAGGACAAAAGCAATTGCAACAAAAGCAAAATTGACAAATGGGATCTAATTAAAGAGCTTCTGCACAGCAAAACAAACTATCAACAGAGTAAACAGACAACCTACAAAATGGGAGAAAATTTTTGCAAACTATGCATCTGACAAAGGTCTAATGTCTAGCATCTCAAAGAACTTAAATGTACAAGGAAAAAAATAAACAATCTCATTAAGTAATGGGCAAAGGACATAAACAGACTTTCCAAAAGAAGACATACATGTGGCCAAGAATCATGTGGGGAAAAAAAAGCTCAGCATCACTGCTCATTAGAGAAATGCAAATCAAAACCACAATGAGATCCTATCTCATACCAGTCAGAATGGCTGTTATTAAAAAGTCCAAAAATAACAGATGCTGGCCAGGTTGTGGAGAAAAAGGAACACTTATACACTGTTGGTAAGAGTGTAAATTAGTTCAACCATTATAGAAGACAGTGTGGCAATTCCTGAAAGACCTAAAGACAGAAATACCATTTGACCCAGCAATCCCATTACTGGGTATATACTGAGAGGAATATAAATAGTGCTGTTACAAAGACACACTCGCGTATGTTCATTGCAACACTATTCACAATAGCAAAAACATGGAATCAACCTAAATGCCCATCAATGATAGCCTGGATAAAGAAAATGTGGTACATATACACCATGGAATACTATGCAGCCATAAAAAAGAACAATATCATGTCCTTTGCAGGGACATGGTTGGAGCTGGAGGCATAGAAGGGAACAACATGCACTGGGGCCTATCACGGGGTGGAGGGTGGGAGGAGGGAAAAGATCAGGAAAAATAACTAATGAGTACTCAGCTTAATAGCTGGGTGATGAAATAATCTGTACAAAAAAAAAAAAACCCATGGCACAAATTTACCTATGTAATAAACTTGCACACGTACCCCTGAACACAGAGAGTTAAAAAAAAAGAAAAAAAACCTAAAGACTCTACCAAAAAAACTATTTGAATTGATAAACAAATCCAGTAAAGTTGCAGGGTACAATTATACAAAAATCAGTATCATTTCTATACACCAACAGTGAACTAAAGAAATCAAGAAGGCAATCCCATTTCTAATAGCTAAAAAAATGTGAAATAACTAAGGAGGTGAAGACCTTCACAAGGAAAACTGCAAAACGCTGACGAAAGAAATACGAACACTGAAGAGGATACAAAGAAATGGAAAAACAACCCATGCTCATGGATTGAAAGAATATTGTTAAAATGACAATACTACTCAAAGCAATTGATAGATTTAATACAATTCCTATCAAAATACCAGTAACATTCTTCACAGAAATAGAAGAAAAAAACCTAAAAATTGTGTGGAACCACAAAAGATCCTGACCAGCCAAAGCAATTCTGAGCAAAAAGTACAAAGCTGGAGTCAGAACACTGCCAGACCTCAAAATATACTACAAAACTGTAGTAACCAAAACAGCATGGTACATGCATAGAAACAGGCATGTAGATCAATATAAAAGAATAGAGAATCCAGAAATTAATCCACATATCTACAGCCAACTGATTTTTGACAAAGATGCCAAAAACACTCATTAAGGAAAGGACAATCTGTTCAACAAATGGTACTGAGAAAACTGGATACCCATATGCAGAAGAATGGAACCAGACCCCCACCTCTCACCCTCAAAATGGATCAAAGACCTATGTGTATACCTGAAGCAATAAAAATACTAGAAGAAAGCATTAGGAGAATCCGTCAGGACATTGGTCAGGGAAAGGTTTTATAAATAAGACTTCTAAAGCACAGGCAACAAAAGCAAAAATAAACAAATGGGATATATCAAACTAAAAAGCTTCTGCAAAGAAAAGGAAACAACAGAGTGAAAAGACAACTTACAGAATAGGAGAAAATATTTGCAAACTACTTATCCAACAGGTGATTAATATCCAGAATATACAAGGAACTCAGACATCTCAACAGCAAACTAAACAATCTGATTTAAAAATGGGCTAATGATCTGAACAGATATTTTCTCAAAAGAAATGGTCAATAAATATGTGAAAAGCTCAATATCACTAATCATGAGGGAAATGCAAATCAGAGCCACAATGGGATATCATCTCACCCCAGAGTTAGGATGACTATTATGAAAGTGGCCAAAAAAATAACAAATGGTGATGAGGATGAAGAGAAAAGTAAATTCTTACACATTGTTGGTGGGAATGCAAACTAGTATAGCCGCTATGGGGAACAGTATGGAAGTCCTTCAAAAAACTACAAATAGAACTACCATATGATCCAGCAATCCCAGTACTGTGAATTTATCCAACGAAAAGGAGATCATTATATTCAAGAGACATCTATACCCCATGTTTACTGTAGCACTATTCACAACAGCCAAGATATGTAATCAACCTAGGTGTCCAACAACAGATAAATGGATAAAGAAAATGTGGTATTTAAAGCTGGGCATGGTGGCTCCTGCCTATAATCCCAGCACTTTGGGAGGCTGAGGTGGGCAGATCACTTTAGGTCAGGAGTTCGAGACCAGCCTGGCCAACGTGGTGAAACCCCGTCTCTACTAAAAATATAAAAATTAACCAGGTGTGGTGGTGGGCACCTGTAATCCCAGCTACTCAGGAGGCTGAGGTAAGAGAATACTTGAAACCAAGAGGCAGAGGTTGCAGTAAGCCGAGGTCATGCCACTGCACTCCAGCCTGGGCGATGGAGCGAGACTCCGTCTCAAAAAAAAAGAAAAAAAAGAAAATGTGGTATTTTTACACCATGGAATACCATGCCACCATAAAAAAGAATGAAATTTTGTTGTTTGAGGCAACAAAGATGGAACTGGGGTACATTCTGTTAAGTGAAATAAGCTAGAAACAGAAAGTTAACACCACATGTTCTCACTCATAGGTGGAAGCTAATAAATGTTCATACAGAAGTGAAAAAACAGAAGATAAAATACTAGAAGCTGGAAAGGGAGGGATAGGGAGAGATTTGTTAAAAGATACAAAATTACAATAGGTAGAATAAGTTCAAGTGTTCTATAGTACTGTAGGATGACTAGAGTTAATAATATATTACATAGTTTCAAATAGCTAGAAGGAAAATACTGAATGTTCCCAACACAAAGAAATGATAACTATTTGTGATGATGGATATGCTAATTACCCTGATCTGATCACCATACATTGTATGTATCAAAACATCACTACGCACCCCATGAGTATGTACAATTATTATTTGTCAATTTAAAAAATTATTTTGAATGGTTTATATTTTATCAGTCTATGATGCAAATGTACACAATAACTAAAGATTTTTTTAACTTTAAAAGCTTTAGAAGAAAGTGGAGAATATTTTTATCATCTTGGAGTAGGAGATAATTATTTTTGAAAGACCCAAAAAAGTAAAAATGATAAATAAAAATGACTAAATGCAACTACATTAAAATAAACCCTTTTATGCTGTCAAAAAAACAACATAAAAACATTAGAAGTCAAACCACAAACCAAAAGATGTCAATATTTGCAACTACACATATGACTTTTTTTAAATAATATAAATTTTATGAATCCACAAGAAAAAGACAGAAATCCCATTAGAAAAATGGGCAAAAGTTAACAGTTATTTCATTAGAAATTATATACCAGGCCAGGCACAGTGGCTCATAGCTGTAATCCCAGCAATTTGGGAGGCCGAGGTGGGTGGATCACTTGAGGTCAGGAGTTCAAGACCAGCCTGGCCAACATGGTGAAACCCCGTCTCTACTAAAAATACAAAAATTAGCTGGGCACGGTGGTGCATGCCTGTAATCCCAGCTACTTGGGAGGCTGAGGCATAGAATTGCTTCAACTCAGGAGGTGGAGGTTGCAGTGAGTTGAGATCGCCCCACTGTACTTCAGCCTGGGTGACAGAGTGGGACTGTCTCAAAAATAATTAAGAAATGATATACCAAAGTCCTTTAAGCCTATGAAAAGATGCTCAAACTTATTAGTAGCCAAGGAAAGGCAAATTAAAACTATGAGATAAAATTCACACCCACCAGATTTTCAAAATTAAAAGATACGTGAATTTCTGGGTTCTCTATTTTTTTATATTGATCTATGTGCCTGTTTTTATGCCAGTACCATGATGTTTTGGTTACTACAGCTTTGTAGTATATTTTGAGGTCTGGCAGTGTTCTGACTCCAGCTTTGTTCTTTTTGCTCAGATTGCTTTGGCTATTCAGGATCTTTTGTGGTTCCACACAAATTTTAGGGGTTTTTTTCTATTTCTGTGCAGAATGTCACTGGTACTTTGATAGGGATTGTATTAAATCTATAAATTGCTTTGAGTAGTATCAAGTGTTGGTGAGAATTTCAAGCAATGGAAACACACTGCCGAGAAGAGCATAAATTGGTTTCGCCAAATTAAAAAATAATTTTTCTTATAAATCTGAACAAATATACTGCCCACAATACTTATTTCAGAATACATATATATTTGAACAATGCTTGACAAACTCTGGATAGTGACTCACCCAATTCAGAGATTCAAATATTTTAAAATATTCCAATATTTTAAAATAGAATAATATGGAACCGAAAATATCAGTCAGTATTCATTGCAGGTGGTTCAAGGTAAAGTATGGCTTTGTGAGAGTTTACACACACACAGAGACATGCATACACTCATGCACACACCTGTAATGCAAAATGTATTTCTTTGTTTTTTTTTTTGTTTTTTTAAATTTTATTATTATTATACTTTAAGTTTTAGGGTACATGTGCACAATGTGCAGGTTAGCTACATATGTATACATGTGCCATGCTGGTGGGCTGAACCCATCAACTCGTTATTTAGCATTAGGGCAAAATGTATTTCTTACTGTGGGTAATGTGCCAAAGAGTTTGAAAGTTATGGCCCTACAGGGAAACCCTTACACATGAGCTCCAAGAGACACAGAAATGGCATTATATGGAATAGCAAAACCCTGTAAAAAACTCAAGTGTCCTCGTATATGTAGAACGGACAAATAACTTCTTGTATATGGATACACTGGAATGCCATACAGCAGTGAAAATAAGTGCTACCTAGTTACATGTCTTAACATGAATGCTTCTCAAAAACATAATGTTAAACAAGAAAACCAAGTCACAGAACATACATAACAAGCATGAATCTATTCATACGACGAGGTGTTAACATATGCAATTTTAAGGATTTAACTGTGGTAAAAGTACAAAGAAAAAGAAGAAAAGGATAAATACAATATTCAGGTAATCTTTTCAGAGAGGGTAATAGAGGCTGATGGGATTACGAGTACAAACTAAGGGCTTCTACGATTCTGGTTAGTTCTTAAGCTGAATGGTGGACACACAAAAGGTGTGTTGGTGACATCAGAGTCACATAATTTACTACCCCTAGTGCCGATCTTAAGTATCATTGTTATATGGAATAACTTCCTTATTGTTTAAGCCCCATTTTGAGTTGTGTCTTCCATTACTTTTAGTTTAAAAACCCTCAAGCTGAAACAGTCCCTTAGTTTGTATCCCATACAACTGGGATCTGACTTAGTATAAGCTATCATTTAATCATATTCTGTTTGTCTAATTGTATCATTAAAACTTTACAATATTAGCAACTCCAAACTATAAAAAGTTTTGTTTGGAAGAAAGAGACTATCATTAAACTAGCTTAGCATTTTTTCAATCTTAAAGGTTTCGTCCTTGGAAACATTCTGATTAAGTACGTGTGATACCAAGAACAATCAAGATTTGTTTAAGAAGATCTATGAAATGTTAAACAGATAAAGAAGGAGTCAGGCTTGTACTCTTGCCCTCAGCAGGGAACAGCTTGATCTGCCTGGAGGATCACACAGTTATTGGAGCTACAGGCTGGAGGTCAGAGCACAGGCAGAAGTCAGCCACTGCGGGAGTCCTCAAAAGGAGAGAGAACAAGGAAGTGAAGAGATTTTATTCAGAAAAGGGCGTGGGCTCTGCTGTTTTGGCCAGAGGAATAAAAGAACAGTGGTTTCTCCACAGACAAATCCTATACTGGAGACTAGCCCTGCTGAGGAAGTAAGACTTCCATGCCACCTCCCTGGCAGACACACAGGAAAGGGTAGATAAGGAAAGGGGATCTACAGAGGGAAATACACACACGCCATTTATTCTATCCCAAGACAGTGTACAAGGTACACCCTCAATGTGCAGCGCTGCCTAATATCCTCCTATTATTCCACAAAGCTAAGTCTCCCTATTTTACAGATGAGGGTGCTGGAACCGAGAGGTTAAGTAAACTGCCAAGGTTACACACCAGTCATTGGTGAAGCTGAAACTCAAACCTATGGCTGTGTGATCCTGAAACTCATTCTTTTTTTGAGACAGAGTCATGCTTTGTCACCCAGGCTGGAGTGTGGTGGCATGATCTTGGCTTACTGCAACCTCCGCCTCCCAGATTCAAGTGATTCTCCTGCCTCAGCCTCTCGAGTAGCTGGGATTACAGGTGTCTCTCACCACACCCAGCTAATTTTTGTATTTTTAGTAGAGACATGATTTCACCTTCTTGGCCAGGCTGGTCTCAAACTCCTGACCTCAAGTGATCTGCCCGCTTCAGCCTCCCAAAGTGCTTGGATTACAGGCATGAGCCACCACACCCAGCCTCATATTCTTTAATACCTTATGCACAAAGAACAAGGAAGACTGTGGAACAACTCAATCTTGGAGCATTCTCTCTTAGAATGAACTCAAAGCTGCCCCCAGCAACTCCTGCCTTCTACTGCTAAACACAATATTGGCTACGCTGTGAAGATGTGGACCCAGCTAAGGTCAGTAGGATCCCATTACAGAGAAGAATGCCACCATTCTTGGTCCCCAGACTACAAGCACAGCCCTCACTTCCGTCAGCTACATCAACCACTTCTCACATGCACAATCTTGGCCACAAGAGGAGTAGGTTAAAAAATAATAATAAAGAGGGTTTGCTATAGGCACCTGCACCCCTGCTCACCCCCCACTCCAGCTCCATTCTGATGCTAACTGTTGGACTATTGGGGCTCATCCCACTGTTGGTGATTCCCACAATTACCTAAGGTCCAACAAGAGACAGTCTCCAGGAGGGGGATGCTGCTGTAGATGGCATGCATGTACATCAGGTGAGCCATCAGCTCGGCCAGCCACCACCAGCAAAGAAGGCGGCCCAGCCCCAGGGCCAGGACACACAGGCTGGCCTTCAGGGAGTCATGCTCCTGCTGCTGCATCTAAAGTGGAAACAAAAGAGGTCATTCGATGGTGCCTTGATTCCTAAAACAGTCCCTTAGATAAGATTTTTCATAAACTTCCCACAAATATTATTGCTATGCCAGCTGACAGAGGGTTGGTTTGGTTTGTCTTGGGAACACTCAATGTTCTTGGTTGGAAGAATCGTATTTCAGCTTGAACATTTGTCTCAAAATAAGAATGGGGGTTGGGGGTCAACAAGCTAGCCTAGTGCCAAGAGCCAAAGACACGTTCTGCACTGATCCCTCCACTCCAGCATCAGCCCTGGAAAAACCCAAGCGGGGAGGGCAGCACTCAGTGTATTTTCCCCACTGGGAATTTGGAGTTTCGGGCTACAGGTGCCACCCTGCCTGAATTCCTCCATCACCTACTCATGTCTGAGGCTGGCAAAAGCAGGTCCCAGTCAACAAGAGACACAGGACTGGTAGAAGAGAAAGAGAAAAAGATGGGCTGAGAGCAAGGGAAAATGATGTGTGGGCATGTCATTTCACCCTAAGTTGTTTTTTGAAACATGGCAGACAGTATGTGGAACAAGTCTCTTGCTTAGTAGGCAGCAGAGCATAACAGTTAAGAATACAGACTTTAGAAAATGTAAAATAAGGTGGGGCATGGTGGCTCACACCTAGAATCCCAGGACTTTGGGAGGCCCAGGTGGGCAGATCACCTGAGGTCAGGAGTTCGAGACCAGCCTGGCCAATATGGTGAAACCCCATCTCTACTAAAACTACAAAAACTAGCTGGGCATGGGGTGGCACATGCCTGTAATCCCAGCTACTCAGGAGGCTGAGGCAGGAGAATTGCTTGAACCTGGGAGGCGGAGGTTGCAGTGAGCCAAGATCACACCACTGTACTCTAGCCTGGGTGACAGAGCAAGACTGTCTAAAAAACAAAACAAAACAAAAGTAAAATAAGTCACTTCGGGTAGCTTTGCCATCAAAACAATATTGAGTTTCACTCCATAAACTCGGGCTGTTTTTCCATTTATCAGGTCTTCTTTAAATTTCTTTCAGCAATGTGTGTAGTGCTCAGTGTACAAGTCTTGTACTTCTTTGATTAAAGTTAGTCCTAAATATTTTGTTATTTTTGATGTTGTTGTAAAAGGAATTTTCTTCTTTAAAAAATGGACTTTAGAGTCAGAGGATCAGGATCAAATTCTACCACAAACTACACAGCTGTGTGATCCTGAGCAAGTTACTTAACCTTTCCGAGTCTGGGTTTCCTCCTAAAGTAAAAAACATTGTTGTGGTGATTAAATATGATGAAGTATGTGAAGTACTTAGGCATACAAGAAGCACTGGATACTTGGTAGTTAATATCTATCATTAACCGCCTCCATGTGTGTCTTCCCATCCTTCCCATGTGGCATCCCAGACAACCAGCTACAGGGCAGCATTAGGAGACAGCTCAGAGCCAAACACCAAAGGCAAGAGAGGGATGTTTTGATTATTCATAGATACAGATAGAAGCTACTGAGGGCATACTCAATACAGTGGACAACACAGATGAAAATTTTTAAAGCCCAGTTCTGTGGTCTCACCTCACTGCCTGTTGTTTAGAGATGCACAGTAACTTAAAACACATAGATTCTAGAATTCATAAACATGCTGGAAAATTTGAAGTGAATTCAATTTCGTTCAGCCTTATACCACTAAACAAATATAAATACAGAAAAACTAGAGAGAACAGTAAGTTTTCTGGATCTCACAATGACAAGATTTTATGAGACTGAAAGCTCCCTTGAAATGCAGAGGACAGACTAATGCTAAATGTCAAGCTGCATCTGCACACATTAGCCGGTAGAGGAAATGAGCTTGATTTAGCATCTGACTATCAGGGCTCATGACATAAAGGCCCATTCCGTGAGGTACCTCCTTAGCTTCTCTCTCCTCCATCATCAGGGTGCTGTGGGACCCTCTGCAGCCAGGAGAGTGGCAGGCACTGCCCCCAGCGGGAAAGAGAGAGCTACACGGCAGGGGATTTATTTTTATTCCATTTTCTAACATACATTCTTCCAGTCTCTCTAACTGTCCTCCCGCAACAAGAAGCCAGGCTAAGAAATTTTGGTCGGCTCATTGGCATTACAATCATCTGCACAAACAGCTTTCTCCCTTTTGCCATCTGCTTGGTTAACTATGCCCAGAAAAGCTTGTTGCTTTAACTTTTAAAATGTAAATTAGGCCGAGGACGGTGGCTCACATCTATAATCCCAGTACCTTGGGAGGTGGAGGCAGGTAGATTACCTGAGGTCAGGAGTTCAAGACCAGCCTGGCCGACATGGTGAAACCCTGTCTCTATTAAAAATACAAAAATTAGCTGAATGTGGTGGCAGACACCTGTAATCCCAGCTACCCAGGAGGCTGAGGCAGGAGAATCATTTTAACCCGGGAGGCAGAAATTGCAATGAGCTGAGACTGTACCACTGCGCTCCACCCTGGGTGACAGACAGAGACTCTGTCTCAAAAAAAAAGGAAAAAATTGGTACAACAGGAATTTCCCTTTTGCCTTTTGTTTCCCTCAGGTCACTTCAGGAAGATATTTTATGCAGCCATACCAATCTGCACTGTTAAGAAACAACAGTAATTGCTTTGGAGAATTCATCTGGTTAGTGTTCACAGGAAGCAGAATTTGAGTTCTCCAAGAAGCAAGATTGGGTATCCTTGGATATTTGCAGACTTGTATTGATCAGACCTAACTGCAATTACAGATGCACTAGTGACCCCAGGCAGACCCCTTTCTGGGCATAAACTGAGGATGGTTTTCATTTGAATCCTTACCTCAAGCATGCATGCTCTGAGAGACCCTACGAAGTCTATGGCAGCAGATCTGTTACAAGCCAGTCAATCACTAAATCCTCAGTGCAGAAACACCTACCTGCCAGATCATTCACGTTTGTTTTAATAAACGAGAAGTTAAAAGGAAATAACCCAAATGTCCAACACTAGGGTGTTGGTTAAATGCATGTGTGTACCTCAATATTGTATGGTCATGAAAACTACTTTTATTCAATGTGCATAAAATAATCCAAAGCTGGAAAGATATACACCAAATGTCAAAAGTGGTCATCTTTGGATGGTGAGAGTTTAGTTATTTTTGACAATTAAAAAGATTTTTTTTTTAAGACAGAGTTTCACTCTGTCACCCAGGCTGGAGTGCAGTGGCACAATCTCAGCTCACCCCAACCTCTGCCTCCCTGGGTTCAAGCTATTTCTGTGCCTTAGCCTCCCAAGTAGCTGGAATTACAGGCATGTACCACCACACCTGGCTATTTTTTGTATTTGTAGTAGAGACGGGGTTTCTCCACATTGGCCAGGCTAGTCTCAAACTCCTGACCTCCAGTGATCCGCCCACCTCGGCCTCCCAAAGCGCTAGGATTACAGGTGTGAGCCATCACACCCAGCCAAATTGGTTCTTTTTTAAATCAGAGAAAAAGTAATGTGATCTTACAATGTTGTGAATATTTGGGCCCTCTCTGTTAGAGAGGCAAATGTACTCAAGACCCCTCTGTTTCTTCATCCTGCTTCTCCAAATGCCTGGCATCAGAACTTCTGCCAGGAAGCCCAGCATCCTCTATGAGTGAGTATTCTTCTCCATGTTTTATGCTAGACTAATTTTTATTTCTCCTTTCCTTCCCCCTTCACTCTTAGATTTTTTTTGTAGCTATGTACTGAGTTCTTCTTGGTTCATTTTCAACCCTTTTCCAGCTCTCCAAAGCAAGTTCATTTTGACCTAATAACCACTAGCAAAAGAAGACATGATTACAAACACACTGCTATGGTCTGCATGTTTGTGCCCCACTAAAATTCATATGTTGAAATCCTAACCCCCAAAGAGACGGTACTAGGAGGTGGGGCCTTTGAGAAGTGATTAGGTCATGAGAGCAGACCCTTCATGATTAGGATTAGTGCTGTCATCAAGGAAACCTCAGAGAGTTAGCTAGTTCCTTCTACCGTGTGAAGACAGTGAGAAGGTGCCAATCTATGAACAAGGAAGCGGGCCCTCACCAGACACTGAATCTGCCAACTCACTGATCATGGAATTCCCAGACTCCAGAACTGTGAGCAATACATTTATGTGGCTTATAAGCCAACCAGTTTATAGTATTTTGTTACAGCAGCTCAAATGGACTACGGCAGAAAATCAGTACCAAGAGTGGGAGTGCTGCTGTAACAAAATACCCAAAAATATGCAAGTAGTGTGGAAGGGGTAATGGATAGAAGCTGGAAGAGTTTGGAGGTGCATGCTTTAAGCAGTATACATTGCTGTAAATGGATCTTTAAGGGAAATTTTGGCAAGGGCTCAGAAGGAAAGGAGAAGAGCTGCAGAGAAAGCCTCAATATTCTTAAAGAATAGCTGAGCAGTAGTGAACAGAATGTTGGTGGAAATGTGCATGGTAAAGGCCAATCTGATGATTTCTTAGACAAGAGAAACATGGTATTGAAAACTGAATGAAAAGCAATCCTGTTATGAACCAGCAAAGAACTTGGCTGAATTGTGTTCGTATCCTAGTGTTTTGTGGAAGGCAGAATTTGTGAGTAATGAAATTGGATATTTAGCTAAAGCCATTTCTAAGCAAAGTGTTGAAGGTGCAACTTGGCTCCTCTTGACTGTTTATAGTAAAACAGCAGAGGAGAAAAGTGATTTAAAGACAAAATTGTTAATCAAAAGGGAAGCAGAACTTAAAGATTTGGAAAACTCTCAGCCTTTCCATACTATCAAGAATGAGAAAGCCTGTTCAGGAGAGAACATCAAGAATGTGGCCAACCAACCACCTGATAAGGTTAGTCAGCTGTTTAAACAGAAGCCAGGACCTCCTGTCCAAGACAATGGAAGAGTGATCACAAAGAGAATTCAGTCATGAAAACTATTTGTGTTCAATGTGCATAAAATAATGAAAGGCTGGAAAGATATACACCAAATGTCAACAGTGGTAATCTTTGGATGGTGAGATTTTAGTTATGTTTTACAATTAAAATTGGTTCTTTTCAGTCAGAGAAAAAGTAATGTAACATTATAATACTGTGAATATTTTGACCCTCTCTGCTGCCACCATCATCACAGGCCAGAGTGCAAAGGCCTGGGGGACAAAGCAATTGCAGATGCAAAGGAGGGGCTGTCACTGCCCAGTCCTGCCTCACATTGTGGGCTCTGCTCCCCACTCCCCGTCACCACACTCCTTGGCTGCCCCAAGGGTGGCTCCTGTGGGCCCCAGTGCAGTGTAGTTGGCACTGCAACCAGAAAAGCTGTGAGGGGGTGTGGCTGCCTCCACCTAGATTTCTAACAATGCCTAGAGAGCCATGGGGCCCAGACAAAGAACTGCACAGAGGCAGGGCCCAGCAGAGCCATGAGGGTGGCACTGTCTCATGACCCCAGACCAGTAGAGCCACCAGCTCAAGATTCTGGCCTGGGTGATCTGCAGGAGGCATAACCCCCTCCCCACCACCATGTGTCCAGAGGCACCCCAGTGTGTCTGAGAGGTGAAACCTCCACCCTAGTGGGCCTGGAGGGCAGAGTAATGAGCCAAACATGATGATTCCTGAGCCTTAAGGTTTTGGACTTCCTCAGGAGCTTTTACTCCTTTCTTCTTTCCAATTTCTACCTTTTGGAATTGGAGTGTCCATCCTATGCCCGTCTCACCATTGGATTTGGGTGTACAGAGCTTGATTTCACAGGCTCACAGCTGAAGGGGAATTTGCATAAGGATGAATCATACCTTGAGTATCACACACATCTGACTTAGATGATATTTAAATGAGACTTTGGATTTCAGACACTTGAGTTGGTGCTGGAACAAGTTAATACTATTGGGGCTATTAGGATGGAATGAGTGTATTTTGCATGTAAGGAGGCCATTAATTTTCAGGGGGCAGGGGCAAAATATTATTAATTGAATGTTTACATCCCTCTAAAAATTCCTATGTTGAAATCCTAACCCCCAAGGTAATGGTACTAGGAGATGGTGCCTTTAGGAAGTAATTAGGTCATGAGGGCATTCTTCATGGTTGGGAATAGCACCCTTATAAAAGAGACGCCAAAGAGTTAGACCCCTTCCACCACAAAAGCACACAGTGACAGGTACCATCCTGTGAACCAGGAAGCAGGCCCTTACCAGACATCAAATCTGGCAGTGTCTTGATCTTGGACTTCCCAGCCTCTAGAACTGTGAGAAATAAATTTCTGATGCTCAGAAGCCATCCAGTTTATGATATTTTGTTATAGCCGTCTGAATGGACTAAGATACATACTATCCATTAGTCTGTAGAGGCTAGAGGAGTTCACACCAAGGTTAAGACATGTAGAGGCATGTAGAGGCATGTAAGACATGTAGAGGCAGCAAAATCACTCTAGACCAATGGACAGGTCTTTCCTGGCACCCAGACTCTTTTCTTTATGACACAGGGTGTCACTCTATTGCCCAGGCTAGAATGCAATGATGTGACCCTACCTCATGGTAGCCTTGGCTCAAGCAATCCTCCTGCCTCAGCCTCCCCTGCAGCTGGGACTACAGGCATGTACCACCACGCCTGGCTGATTTTTTTTTATTTTTTGTAGAGCTGAGTTTCACCGTGTTGCCCAGGCTGGTCTCGAACTCCTGGTCTCAAGTGATCCTCCTACCTCAGCCTCCCAAAGCACTGGGATTACAGGTGTAAATCACTGTGCCCAACCTGCTCAAACTCTTGGAGAGAAGCAAGTCTTCTAGCTGAACGTGATAATGGCCTCAAAAGCAGTGTTGACAGCAGATAATCTTCACACAGACAAATGTCTACAGTTTCTAAATAAGCCAACTGTGCATATGGCCTACAGGCTCTTCAGCATAACCTACCCAAAGCTCAGGTTCCCTGAAGGCCAGGACAGTACCTCGGGCCTCCAAGCAGCATTTGGTATGGAGCCCCATCCCAGGGAGTGGAGAGATAGCAGCTGGACTGGAAGGGAGCCAGGAGGAGGCCAGAACCAACAGCCCCCAAGATAATCAAGAAAATATCGCTGACACCCAATCACCTCTCAGCTCCAGGCAATCACGTTTCAAGGTGAATTCAAAGGCCTCCTTTCCCTCCTCAAACATGTGCATTCTAAAATGACACAAATATCTGTAATTAAGAAAAATCATGAGGTACATTTTGTCATGCATTGGCTTCTTAATAATGACTTACCTACTTTTCACAAGCTAAAACTTCCCTACCAGGTATAATAAGGCATAATTACATGTCACTACAGGACCAAAAGGACTAGACTTTTCTCTGCAACACTCCTTTTCTGGTGCTGACTGCCTCCCTGCTCCAAGCAACAGAAATGTTTATTAATTGCACAAATAAGCCAGGCATGGTGGCTCATGCGTGTAATCCCAGCACTTAGGGAGGCCAAGGCGGGCGGATCACTTGAGGTCAGGAGTTCAAGACTAGCCTGGCCAACAGGGTCAAACCCTGTCTCTACTAAAAATACAAAATTAGCTGGGCGTGGTGGCAGGTGCCTGTAATCCCAGCTACTCGGGAGGCTGAGGCAGGAGAATCGCTTGAACCTGGGAGGTGGAGGTTGCAGTGAGCCAAGATCGTGCCACTGCACTCTAGCCTGGGTGAAGAGTGAGACTCTATCTTAAAAAAAAAAAAAAAAAAAAAATTTACAAATAAACAACACAGCAAAAGAAAAACAATCCAACTTTCATTCTATTTGCTTTTACTTAAAAAAAAAAAAACAAAAGGTTTTTCATCTTTCTTTAGGGTCATATCATTATTACAGTCCATTTACATCTGCAATCTAGTTGACTGTCTTTTGTTTAAAAAATCCGGCCAGGCATGGTGGCTCACGCCTGCAATCCCAGCACTTTGGGAGGCCAAGGCGGGTGGATCACAAGGTCAGGAGATCGAGACCATTCTGGCTAACACGATGAAACCTCGTCTCTACTAAAAAAAATACAAAAAAATTAGCTGGGCGTGGTGGCTGGCACCTGTAGGCCCAGCTACTCGGGAGGCTGAGGCAGGAGAATGACGTGAACCCGGGAGGTGGAGGTTGCAGTGAGCCAAGATCGCAGCACTGCACTCCATCCTGGGCGACAGAGCCAGACTCTGTCTCAAAAAAAAAAAAATCCAAAATTTGTCCCTTGTCAACCCAGCAGGAAGAACAGACAGACCATATATAGCTCATCTAATGTGCAGGGCGGCTCTCTTGCCTGCATGCAAAGTATTTCATTTAAGACATTTCAAACCTAGGGGACTGCCAAACCTTTAGACCACTGGAAACTGCCACCATGGAAATTGTGAAGTTCAGGCATCACTAAAAAATACACATTAACTCATCTGCAAAGTGCATTTCAAAATGCATTATACTTTAAAACCTAATTTCATGCAAATTGCATAAAAAGGAATAGCTATGCCTTTCTCTTTCTCCCAAATATATTCTGATGATTAAAGATGACAGTTCTCAAAGATGAAAGGTTCTTTTTCTTCATACACGAATAATACATATGTTTGTGAGCACCAAACAAAAGCCCTCCCCAGAGGCAGATATTCAACTGGGCCACCTGGGCCACTAACTTATTAGCTTCTCTCTGCTTGGGTCTAGGAGGCCTTGTGGCAGTTGTTGTATTCCTTTATACTGGTCACAGACCATACCCCTACTCCTAACAAATCATTCCCTAATCAGACCCACATTACTCCCACCCGCTAGCCATCCAGACCAAGGCCAGCAACATCCAGTGAGCTCTCCCAGAACAGCAAGTGGGGCCTGCAGGTGTTGCTGCCACCAAGGCTGGTACTTGGTTCAGCCTGCTTGAGCCTCCAGACCTTCATGTCCACTAGGCCACACTCCATCCCCCTCTAACTCCTCTCACACACCAAGTCAGCGCAACAAGGCT
This sequence comes from Homo sapiens, assembly GCF_000001405.40. NCBI lineage: Eukaryota > Metazoa > Chordata > Mammalia > Primates > Hominidae > Homo > Homo sapiens. The sequence goes on along the minus strand of NC_000001.11, from coordinate 210,409,289 downwards.
CATGTCTTGATTCCCTTCACTCTATCTGCATTGTAATAGCCTCTCTTTGCCTCTGTTTCCCTGTCTGTAAAGTGGTCATGACAGTATCTCTCTCACAGGTTGTGAGGATTAAACAAGCTAGAATGGCCAGGCACAATGGTGTGTGCCTGTAATCCCAGCACTTTGGGAGGCCGAAGCAAGAGAATCACTTGAGGCCAGGAGTTTGAGACCAGCCTGGGCAACATAGCAAGACCTCATCTCTAGAAAAGTATTTTTAAAAAATTAGCCAGGTGTGGTGATGCATACCTATAGTCCTAGCTACTCAGGAGGCTGAGGTGGGAGGATCACTTGAGCTCGGGAGGCCAAAGCTACAGTGAGCTATGATTGCACCATTGCACTCCAACCTGGGTGTCAGAGTGAGACCATCTCAAACATTTTAAGTTAGAACGTATAAAGCCTGGCTCAGACTAAATGATCACCTAGTATATTTTATTACAATTAGCATGATTCCAGGTGCTCTCTAGAACCAGAGCCCATGCCAAGTACTAAACAAAGCTTCTGGGACATTGACTGCCTTGCACAGCTCTTGCCAGTCCCAGCAACTCTTGGACTGCCCCCATCCCTTTCCTGCAGCAGCTGCCTGGGTCTCTCTTCAAATAGATGGAACCAGCACACTGGCCTCTTCTGAGCCCAAGCATGGCCATGGCCCAGAGTCCCCTGCTGCTGTGCCTGCCTACCAGACTGGATACCCAGGGTCTCACTTCTGACCTAAACTACCCTAGAATTACACTTGCTTTCTGGCCAATCATCACAATAATAAAAGTAAGAGGCCGAGCATGGTGGCTCACACCTGTAACCCCAGCACTTTAGGAGGCCGAGGCGGGCGGATCACCTGAGGTCGGGAGTTCAAGACCAGCCTGGCCAACATGGTAAAACCCCATCTCTACTAAAAATACAAAAATCAGCTGGGTGCGTTGGTGCACGCCTATAATTCCAGCTACTTGGGAGGCTGAGGCACAAGAATCACTTGATACCAGGAGGTGGAGGTTGCGATGAGCTAAAGTTGTGCCACTGCACTCCAGCCTGGGCAACTGAGCCAGACTCTGTCTCAAATAATAATAAGAGTAAGAATTAACACTTTATAGTATTAACCTGTCAAACCACATTACCTATACACAATCATTTAATCCTCACAGCAATCCTGAGGGAGGCACTATTATTCTTCCCATTTCACTGATAAGAAGACTGAGGCATAAGTAAGGTAAGTAACTCAGCAAGCACTCTCAAGCCGAAGCACAGCAGGGATTCAAACCCTGGAGGGTGGGCTCCAGGACCTTTGCTCTCAACCTCCATGCCAAATTCCCTATTTGACCACTGGCTTCTCTAAGGTGGGAGAGCACAGTGCCCAGCAAGGAAGAGTCCCTGGCCCACCACCCTAAGGCTGCTCTTCTCCCCAGTGCCCACACCACACCAGTCAACCTCTTCAAGACGTAGTGGCCCCAGGCTTCAGGCTAAGCAAGTAAACACCATGTCCTTCCCTTCCCTAAGTCCCCCAGGATCCCTGTCTCACCGCTGACTTGGTATCCGAGTTCCACAGAAACGTGAGAGAAAAACAAATCAGGCCCATGTTCCTAAAACTCTAAATGCCACCAGAAATAGCCTTCAAGTTAAGGCACAGAGGCAAATTTTTACCTGTTCGTGACTAATTATGCAAATTTCACATGCTTTACATTGCAGAAGACAACGCTTCTATACCTCCCTCATTTTGTGTATGTAAATTGGGTGGAAGACACATTCTCCAGGTGTATGCCTAAAACTAACATTGTCATTTGATCTTTTGGAGTTTGCAGATACTGGGTGAAGATTTCCCGCTGGGGTTGGTTTCCACAATGGGGCACTGCTGCCCCCTGGTGGTGCAGCGTCATTCTCCTGCTCTACGTTATTTTTATGCATTGACCTGCCAGTCTAAGAACCATGCATTTCAATATTTCCAATCCTTATAGCTGAAGGCATTTCATGCATGCATTCATTCAAGCATTCATTCAGAGCAAATCTTACTTACTAGTTCTTCCAACTAGCTTTCTTTCTCCACCTCCCAGCCTTTTCCTTTTTGGCTTCTCTGAAAGAACCCTTTCACTGCAAGATAAGCTTTTTGGTTTAACCCCCTGCCCCTTTAAAGCCCCCTTCCCCACAGAAGGGAAGTTCCCCACAGCCACCTTCAGCAAGTGCAGAAACCTCCTGGCTTTTTAAATTTGCCCTATATCTTACTGAACATTTATCCTTTTCTAGAATGACTATTCTATGAATACTCCCCCAAACATAGAGGTTTTAATTTGCCCTTTCAAGTTCCCTGCTGTCAGCAATTGCTATTGTTTTAGAAGGGGTTAAAAAAGAAGAGAGAGAGAGGGAAGGAAAAGACATGGATAAAACCCAGAGTGTCTATACCTGGCCCCTACAGGAAGCAACCTGCCCCTTCACTTCCCCAGAATGAGACTCAAGAGAATGAGAACCCTTGGCTAAGGATTTAGGTGGAAGATAATCTTAAAGCGTGCCTCTGTGTGACACAGGACCCTGCTAGAGGCCTCTAATATTCTTACTAGACCCTAAAAGGCACAATTTGAAAAGGGAGGCCAGGCTCAAGCCTGTAATCCTAGCACTTTGGGAGGCTGAGGGCAGATTGCCTGACCTCAGGAGTTAGAGACAAGCCTGGGAAACATAGCAAAACCCGGTCTCTACTAAAAATACAAAAAATTAGCTGGACTTGCTGGTGCATGCCTGTAATCCAGCTACTCAGGAGGCTCAGACACGGGAATCACTTGAACCCAGGAGGTGGAGGTTGCAGTAAGCTGAGATTACACCACTGCACTCCAGCCTGGGTGACAGAGTAAGACTCTGTCTCAAAAAAAAAAAGAAGAAAAAGGAGATGAGAAATAACAGAAACAATTATTTTGCATAATAACAAAGTACAGAGCATACAGGCAAAGCTTATATACAGGAGGAAGTTAGGAAAATAATCTGTTTCCTTCTAATGGATTTAGTTTATGTTTCTCTGAAAATTACCAGCCATCCTCAGGAGAGGGGTGTCTGTGTGTGGATGTTTGGTCCAAAAGTTATTGGCTGGCAAACTGAGAATAATTCAAAAGTTCACAAAGGTAAGGAGATTGTAAAAGAGAGGAACCCACCCTATGCTGTGCCCACCTTACCTTTACTCCCACCCTCCTCCTGGAGGGCCTGTTAAACCACCTTCCTGGGCTTTATCCCTAGAGGCTGTGATTCAGGAGGTTGGAGAGGACCTGAGAATTTGTATTTCTAACAAGCTCTCTGGCGATACTGATGCTGCTGGTCCAGGAACCACACTTTGCAAATCATTGAGTTAGAAGATCAGCTGCCATCATTAAACCATCTCTTTTACACAATAATTTTAAACACAATTTCAAATGCAGATTTTAAATTCCTTCATGACAAAAGAACGATCCCAAACCGAGGTATGAGAAACCATAGACTAAACATATCTGTCTAGAATATCAATTTCACTTACAGATTTCTAGAGATATAAAAAGTTACATACTTTCACTGGAAATTTTAGAACATTATGTTATTGTTATAATGCAAAAATATATTCTTGAATACAATGCATAATTCAGTGGAACTTTGAGGACAAAATAAGATTTCTAAGAACCCTCCTTTTTCAGGGAGCAACTTTCATGTTGCTGCCCAGAAATGTGCAACACTGCTGCTTGCCCTGCCCTTCCAGGTGTGTGCGTATGCGTGGGTATGTGTTCTGCGTGTGCATGCATGTCTGTGTATGCACGTACATGTTATTTTCTCCTCTATGAGGATTGTTTTGTTGGTGAGGGATAGAATATCCCTTGAGAACACTGTTTTAGGCATTTTCAATTACTAATTCCTTAGGTGAATTAACTTAGCAATTATGTTCCATGAAACTAGAGGTAGGTTGAGGAGGCAGAAAAAAAAGAAAGTTCTAAACAAGGGGGAAAAGTGAAGTAGGGGGGAACAACAGAGGTAGCTTAACATGGCATTTCAGACAAGGATGCCGTCCGAGGAAGGCAGGCGGGGGCCTGGGCACAAAGGGGGATCCAGACATGAACACACACCACTGCCTTCGAACTTACTTCAACTCCACTCTGTTTTCACACCTAGGTCACCCTGAACAGCTCCCAGGCTATGGCAGGACTATTTCTTAAGCAGCTTGTGAATATAAAAGGAAACATACTATTTGCCAAGCAACAGCTTAGACAGTTTCCTTTTCTATTCCTTCAAGTAATAGCATCATAATCAAATTTTTTTCTTTCCTTGGGACTTTGCCACAGTGGATACCAACTCCCAAACTCCTTGTTGTGCCCTACTCATTAATCCTGGTTGCCAGAGTTCACTGAAAATCAAGGTGGGACCCCCTAGAGCTGACATATCTGATGGGTCAAACTTTATTTTAAAGGCTCATTTCTCATATGTATTTCATCTATTACAAAAAACCTCATGAGAACTAATAGTATGTGTTGTAAATCTGTGGGCACCTCTGAACAAAACGACTCAAGAGTCAGAGAAGACCAGAGCAACAGCGACAAAGGCTTAAGCTATAGAATCCCAATCCCATCCCCAGCGGGCTCTACCTGTTTGATGAACTCCGAGAAGCTGAGGATGGGCCCATTGTGTAAGACTGGATAATAAAAGACATAGGCCAGCATCCAGGGAAAGGAGTAGGAGGTCGATGCAGCAGGCAGCTGCTGCCAGCAGAGCTCCAGGCTGAAGCTGGTGTAGTACAGGCAGCGAACGGTCAGCGTGAACTGCAGCAGGTAGTACTCGTTTTCTGTCTTGTACCACCTTCTCTACAAAATCAAAAGGAGAGAACAACCTTTGAGTGGCCAGCAGGGACATCGTCCAGTCCCACTGCAGGTGCTGGCCAGCAGGGCCACCGTCATCTGAGAATCCCAGGGGGCTCTGGGAAGGCAATTTCTTCTTCAGGCAGAGCAGCTGTGCCATAAAAGGCAGTCGAGAACCAATGAACACCAGGTAAATCTCATTGGTAATCAAAGCAAGCAGTTAATGAGCAGTAGGAAAAAGGACATCTCTAATGTTAACCTAGCATTAGGTCTGACACAACATAACGAAGGTTTTCCCAGTTAGGCATGTATCAGATACATCCAGGGCATAAGGTGCAGATTAGCTACATCCAGTGGATACTTTGACAGCTTCTTCAACAATTCAGATAACAAAGAGGGGCTTAAAATGTCCCATGGGATTTCTGTCTTCAATGTATTTTTCGTTTTCCTCTTTTGTTATCAGTTTGGCTCTACATTTAGTTGAGTAGCATTTGTCTAATAAGCTTTACAGACAAATATTTAAAAAAAAAAAAAAAAAGTCCCTGCCCTCAATATGTTAAATTCTCATACAGGACGTAGATGTGTAAAAATGCAATTACAATAGAGCATGAAACAAGAAATAACCTGTGCAAAAATATGCATGGAACAAAAAATGAGAAGGAAATACAATAAAATGTTAATATCGGGGAGTAAAATTATGAAGTATTTTCTAATTTCTATATTTTTCTACATTTTCCATGTTTTCCAAAAATACATTTAGTGAGAAAAACTATTTATGGAAATACATACGAGAAATAGAACTTGGGTCAAAGGAGAAAGTAATTAACTTGATCCATCAGGGTCTCTTAAAGCTGTACACAGAAAAACCAACCACTGAACAGAGTTTCTACTTCTTGTACAAGACTTTAGCAGCCACCAAGGGAAAAGAGGATAATCATATCAGGAGAACCACATGTGCAAAAGCATGGAAACCCAGCTAGTTTCTAATCACATGATCTCCTTCCTCAGTGTTTTTCAAATCACTGTAAAATTTGCAGAACAAATGAACATTTATTCACCTCCAACATCTATAACTGATGCTAATTGTCCCCAAATAAATGATAAATGGAATTAGATTCTGTTTGTACACTTGCCAGGTCCCCAAAAGGTTAGGTATGAGCTTGTTTTTATTTTTACTGTAAATCTGTTTTTAAGCACACTTGCCTAAATGGTTGCCTAATCATTCTGGGAAGTATCTTCATTAAAACGGAGTGATTATCTGATATACTCTCATAAGTCCAGATTTTGACATACGTGCTTAAAATGCTAGCCCCACATCATTAATGAGAGTGAGAAAAATGAAGGTAGACTAAAAACAGCAAAAAATACTTGAACTTTCAAAATGCTACAATTTTCACAAAATCACTTAACATAGATTATCCCGTTTGACTCTCAGAACAATCCCATGAGGAAGGAAGAGGATTTATTACTTCTGTTTTCCAAATGATGAGATTGAGGCTCAGAGGTTAAATGACTGCTCCAGCTTCAGAGTAGGAAGAGATGGGGAATAGAATAGACTAGGAACCAGGTCATCCATCTCACATTTCCCATCATGTTCCTTCCCATCACTGTGTTGATGCAGGGCACATGAATGCTAAGTGTTGTCACCTGGATCAATGAATGAGTGACTGAATGAATGAATAAAAAGATACCACAGGAGTTCCAGTCCCACAGTGATTGAAGAAAGAATACCCAACACTGCCCAAGATTTTGAATGTGCCTATGGAGATCCTAGGGGGTTAGAGGAAGGGATAGGTGTGTGCAGTGTCCCCAAAGCTCTAGGTGACACCTGGTCACTTACATGCTACTGTTTTATTGTTTACCAGTTTGTAAGAGCCAGCAGCTCTCAGAGCAGTATCGGACACTAACTGATCTGTTTTTCTGTGGCCCTCTTTTATTTCTTACCTTTAGAGACTGAGGTCTAAGCTGTACTTTGAAAGAGAATCCGGTGGACAGGGATGATGAGAAGGTTGGTTCCAAGAGACAGCATAAACATACGTAAATGTGTAAAGGGAAAGGTAAGCAGATTGGCCTGACTCAAAAAAACAGCTCCTGCCAGTTGGGCAGTGTTTGGGAACCGGGCTAGGAAGGAGAAGGTCGATGAAGGTGGGAAACATCAATGGTCCTGCCCTGGGCATATGACCCCTGATGTTTTCCAAGCTGCGCAACTCTCAGGCTGGCTGTTCTCAGAGTCAACTGGCCCCAAAAGTGAAGGGCTCTGAAGCTGAGTGCCCAGAACCAGACCCTGGAGCTGGGGCCTTGGACTTGTGTTCTTGCCATGCATTTCTCCTTAAAAGAAAGCTCCCACTTCTGGATGGTTGAGAGTTCCACACAGACTCTGCCTTTACTCCCCTGCAGCCACAGACCTTGGCAGCTCCAACTTGAACATGTAAAGGGTGTATTCAACAGACAAGTGAGAGAAGGAACCTCACACAGCCTGAGTGGGCCTGAGATAGGCTGAGGGGCCTAAGCTTCAATTGCATAAGCAGGGCTAGGTCACTCCAGTTACCAAAGACAGAAACAGATAGTCCAGAGCCGTCCAGGGGATGCTAGCCACTGCCCAGGAGATGATCAGAGAACACACAACAGAAATCAGAAAATGTAGTACAAGAAGAATTTGCTGATAGGTGCAATCGCCTCAGCAAGGCACAGGAAACTCAACTCAGAAGGCAGTCTGTCTGTCATCCACCAATTCTCTGGGTCAAGTCTGATGTGCACTCATAAAGTAAAAATGCACTGTTATTGTGACTGAGAAAAAAAATAAAGCTAAAAGGTAAGTGCCTATAAAATAAGATTTTACTAATGCAAACAAAAGCCCTAAAGAAGTGAGGTTTGAGCCCAGTGTCCTCCTCTATTAGCACCAACAATGGATAGGTGGTTGAGTCTGTCAAAATGCCTCTGGGTTTACAGAAATGAAAGCTTGGTCTGTGCCCTTCGGGGCTAAACACTTTGTTTTCACTACCTAAATTGAAAGAGCTTCCACTGGGTCACATGAGTAGATAATAAATATGTTCCTGGCCGGGCACAATGGCTTATACCTGTAATCCCAGCACTTTGGGGAGGCCAAGGTGGGCAGATCACATGAAGCCAGGAGTTTGAGGCCAGCCCGGCCAACATGGTGAAACCCCATCTCTACTAAAAATACAAAAATTAACTGGGTATGGTGGCAGGTACCTATATCCCACCCACTCGGTTGACTGAGGCACGAGAATCGCTTGAACCCAGGAGGCGGAGGTTGCAGTGAACCAAGATCGCACCACTGCACTTCAGCCCTGGGTGACAGAGCAAGACTCCGTCTCTACAAATGAATAAATAAATCTGTTCCATCAACTAGGAAGAAGAAAAAGACCTGACTTACCACCACAGGGCCATTGTGGCCATCAGATGAGTTGAGTGATGTGTGCATTCCCTATAAATTGTAGGGCACTCTCCAGATGTTTTTTAGTAAATCATCTGTTTGTTTCTTCTCTCTTTGTTCCTGACCCTCTGGCCCTGTGACATCTGGCACCCCACATGCCCACCTAAACTGGGAGAGATGGTACAGGGCCAGCCCTGGGCAATCTCACAGGGCTAAAACACAGCCAGGAATGATAGGATTGCAGAATGCACCACTAGGGTTCACTTGTAGCAACCCTGTACGGCCACTATGGGGAGCCCCATCACAGTTCTACAATCATCTCTTGTCTGAAAACCAAGGTGTCTACTGGGATCAAGGCAAAGCCAAAGGGGCCTTCTCTGGATTCCCAATGGTAACAGGAAAACACTTACCTTAACTTCTTCCACACCCTGCAGCCTCAGTGTGGAGAGGAGGAGGAGAGAACAGAGCCACGTCAGGAGCTGAGACCGGAACTGGGCCACGCAGAAAGAGATGGTGGTATGGAGCAAAACCATAGCCACACCAGGGGTCCCCAGCACACACCAGCAGGCCCACATCCCATAGAGCATGAGAATCCAGGGTCTGTGCTGCAAATGGTGGGGCCCATCCAGAGAGAGACAGGGAGGAAGAGGGGAGGGAGGAAAATAAACAGAAGTGAGCTCATGGAAGTGATATTGAAGGTTCTACATGTAAGAGGATCACGTTTAATTACCCAATAAAGAAACTCTTATCACTGCCCTGGGAATTTTGGTACAACACAGACAAACAAGATTCAGAGGGACTTTCCACATTAACCCCCAGAGTCCCATCAGCTCCACCCAGAAGCAAGTAACCACTCTCCTGCCTTCAACCAAAGCCACCCAGACCCCTGGGTCACACAACAATAAGATATTGGATTGACTTTTCAACAGACACAATGGAAGCCAGAAGACAGCTGGAAAAATGCCAACTGGACCACATCCCACATACAGCATCCTTCAGAAGTGAAGGTGAGAGAAAGTATTAGTACACATTTCTAGGAAGACCTATTAAGAAAACTGGGCCATCCAAACCACAAAAGACTTTCCAAAGTCTAAGCCAGAGATTTTAAATATGTAGGGTTTTTTTGCATTTTTGATTTTTTGCATATTGATTAGTCAAATTTATGTCATAGAAAAATTGCATCTTACCTGCTTTATGAGCTATTGAGGACTTTGCATAGTCTACCTGATTGATACATTTATTCCCATTTTAGGAGAATCACAGATTTTTATCTAATCATCAACTAATTTATAGTTATCACATTGAATAAGTAGATGAATTAACATGTCTTTGCTTTATGATATAACCTTGGTCAGACCTGATGGGGAAATCCTTAAAAACCACAATGTTTTAACTTTGAGACGCAAGGTATCATTGTGGTTTAATGATTCAAGCTTTGAAGTCTAACTGCCTAAATTCAAATGCTGGTGTCTCATAACTACCTGTGTGACCTGAGGCAAATGACTCCATCTCTGTGGATTCATTTCTTCATATATAAAACTGGGATATCCCAGCACTTTGGGAGGCCGAGGCAGGTGCATCACCTGAGGTCAGGAGTTCAAGACCAGCCTGACCAACATGGCAAAACCCCATCTCTACTAAAAATACAAAAATTAGCCAGGTATGGTAGGTGACTGTAATCCCAACTACCCGGGAGGCTGAGGCAGGAGAATCCCTGGAACTCGGGAGGCAGAGGTTGCTGTGAGCCGAGATCGCACCATTGCACTCCAGCCTGGGCAACAGAGCAAGACTCCATCTCAAAAACAAAACAAAACTGGAATAATAACAATATCTCCTTCATGGGGTGGATACACAGGAAGGACTCTACAAATACAGTTGTTATTCCCATAGGGAAATGTGATGTCTCACGGGCATGCATTTTAAAATGTGGATCCCAGGAACCACCGAATTGAAAAGTGATAAGTGCCTGAACTTAGGTCGTCTTGTGGAAACAAAGACTTTTTTCAGGGCAAGACAGGTGTGGAGTGTAAATTGCAAATCCCGTGCTTTGATGCTAACTCTTTCAAAATATTGCCTACCTACCATTCTTTCCCAAACCTATACTCTAGCTCAAGAGAACATTTTAAATATGAGACTAGATCAGCCATTTTTAAGTTCCAAGAAAACCAGAGAAATGTGAAGTTCATTTTTACTATTTTTCCATCCTACTACCCACAGAAAACAGCCACATAAATTTGCTTCAAACCCTCACCTCTGGGCAGAGTCCAATTATAAGGAATACATGGCCAAAGACTATTTTAAGAGGTAGTTTTAACAAATGAAAAAAAGGGGCTTCTTTTCCAACATGACCTACAGCATTTACCAATGGAATTCTTTTTTGTGCATGTGTGGCTACATACATAGACACAGTTATGTTTTTATTAAGTGCTATTTGATCCCTTTGGAAAAAGCCTGTTTGCTGGGATTCGTTTGGGAACTTACCACAGACTGAAGCTGCTTCAACTTGGAAAATGCTGAAAGAAGCTTCAGGAAATACTTGATAGTGCTGTGTAAACCCCATTTACTTGAGAGACTATGATGAATTTAACAGTGGTCTCCAAAGCCACCTTGGGGCAGAAAAATTTGTCCCATATTCATCCCCCACTGTTTCCCTACTGCCAAACAGTACAGGCAGACGACACTTAATACTGTTCTAAGACATCACAGGACACGCTCTCACATGAGCCTCATGTTCTCTACCCATCTTAATATTACCCATTGATTCTCCCCAAGTACAAGCAACTCTACTATATACATTCATGATGCACAGGCAATGAAAAGATGTGAATAATGCAAAAAGAATCACCTACACGAAACTGTTGTATATATTAGAATCCCACTAAAATGTTGATTTTCATACTTTGTCTATAAAAATGCTATTGGAATGAATCCTATCCCCAAAACACCATTAAAATACTGCAAGAGGAGAATCGCTTGAACCTGGGAGGCAGAGGTTACAGTGAGCCAAGATCGCGCCATTGCGCTCCAGCCTGGGAGACAAGAGTAAAATTCCATCTCAAAATAAGTAACAAACAAACAAGTAAATAAAATCCTGCTAGAGCAGAATCAGCCTCCCATGTCTTGCAATCCAACTGGCATCATGGCAGGGCAGTCCCCATTATAGAGGTAGCCCTTAGGGCACAGCTGCCCAACCACGATCCCTCCCATGCACATACCTAGATCTCAAGCACTATGAAGAGGGTTCTAGGATAAAAGGGTGACATGGCCCAGCAGGGTGGGCAGCAGCATGGACGGCCTGCTTCTTTGGGCAGCAGAAGAGCTTTTTCTAAGCATTTCAAAGGCCAGTTTCATCAGCAAAGGCCTAAAGATAGCCCTGTCCCATCCATCTCTACTCCAAATGTGCTTATGTATTTATCAACCTTTTTTCTCTCTTAAGTAAAAATGCTTAACTATCAGTATTAAGCTTCTGACATCAACCAGGCCAGAATTTTTTTAACTTTTCAAAAAAAAAAAAAATTGTGTTGCATTTTGTTCCAAAACAACACTTCTGACTCATCACTAGAAAGGCTTTCAGATTTTTTTCCCCAAGTTCTCAGGGTAATAAGAGCAGACATACAAGATTTGGTCACACACATACTGTACGTCAAACTCAAGTTTAAAAACCCACCTAAACACCAAAATAGCCCAATTCATTTAAATTACAAGGTTCAAATTATGAAGATGATTGGGAATTACTTGTTACTTGAAAGAAGACAAAGAATCACATTGATCACATAAAGTGTATAGGTAAAACATGGCCTCAATGTTGGATTGTGATGTTTCTGATTTACAGATTCCAGTTGCATACAACTTTTATGTAATGTTCTTTCTCAGATTTTTGAGATAGTTGTATTCACATATACATACAAGAGACATCCCTTGTATACTTTACCCAGTTTCTTCCTATGGCACATTTTTTAAAACCACAAATATCATAACCAGGATATTGATGTTGCTGCAATGCACCAAACTTATTCAGATTTCTCTAGTTTCACTTCTATTAATTTATGTGTGTGTTTAGTTCTATACAATTTTATCACATGTATAGGTTTGGTATCTACCATGGTAAAAATGCAGAACAGCTCCATCACCACAAGGATTCCTTGTGTTGCCATTTTATACCTCATTTACCTCCTTCCCACTCCTCTGATCACCCCCATCCCTAATCCTGACAACCAGTAACCTCTTCTCCATTTCAAAGATTGGCTTTTTTCACTCAGCGTAATTTCCTGCAGATTCATCCAAGTTGCTGTATCAATGGTTTGCTCCTTTTCATTGCTGAGTAGTGTTCCATGATGTGGATATACCACAGCTTGTTAGCCATTAACCTACTGGAGGCTATCTAGGCTGTTTGCAATGTGGGGCTATTACAAATAAAACTTATGCAAACACACATGCATAGATTTTTGTGTAAAAATAAGTTTTCATTTCTCTGGGATAAATGCCCAAGATCACACTTGCTGGGGTGCAAGGTAGTTGCATATTTAGTTCTATAATAAACTATAAAACAGTTTTTCAGCATGGCTGTAGCATTATACTTTCCTGCCAGCAATGCATGTGTGATCCAGTTTATTCACATCCTTGCCAGCATTTGGTGCTGTTACTATGTTCTATCTGAGCCATTCTGGTAAGTGTGTAATGACATCTCGTTGTGGTTTTAATTTGAATTTATCATGCTCTTTTAAAAGGTATCAAAGCATGAGTGACCTGAAGCTTGAGATGAGCTTGCTGGAGCACAGGATGACAGCCCCACCGGAACTACTCTGACCCTCACTCAATGGTCTTTATTCCAGGTTCTTCCATTTCTAATAGGAGATGAAACAGAAAGCCGGGGAAGAGGGGAAGTGTTTAAAAGGCTGATGAAAAATAAGAAAGTATACTCTATTTTTACAGCAGTGGAGACAAAGCCAGACTGAACGCTATGGCCTTTTTGATGAGACATAGATCTTACTAACCCTGGTTGACTTAAGCAGGCATCCTTCCCCTCTGCTCCCTGAGTCTACACTGAACCACTCTCAAAATGGGGTCTGACTCTACTTGATAGTCTCCTTAATAGGCTAAACTCCTGCCTTGTTTAGATTACAGTAATGTAAGCCCAGAATCTAGCACAGTGCCTAGCATATATCACGTGTTTCATAACTATTGGATGGAAGGATGGAGAGAATAGTTGCATGGATGGATAGCTGGGTAGATGGATATGCTTTCCCAAGTCTTGGGATTTAACCTTGAGATCATGACTAAGAAAAAACAAGAAAATAGCAGTAAAATGTGGACTTTGGAACCCAATAATGTGAAAACCTACTGTCTTCCAAAGTCTCTACTTGTCCTACTTAACCCCTTATAAACAATGGCTGTTTTGCTAATGTAGGTAGAATGGAAGAGACATTTCACATCTCACTGCCTATTACCTGTTTGCTACTCACAGCATCTCTTAACAACTCCACTTCTGTTGGGGGAAATCTCCAATAGTTAACAACTGATGGGGCACAGGTACCAATCCAGGAAAGTGGATACCTGTTATAGAGGCTTCTATCCATCACCCCAGCAGAGTCTCCCGGGAGAATAACCAGTTGAGCTGGCAGAGCTCCAAGGATTGGTGTCAGTGCCCTTAAGAAAAGACTACAGATTTGCCCTCCTTTCTTTTGAAATCCATACTCTTAACCTTCTTCATAAGGAGTCAGGAAAAACTGCCAGACAATGCCCCTTCTCACACCATCTGTTTCTACTTCAGCTCATTCTGTGCCAAGGGTGCCAAGTGATAATAGGGTATGCCTGGTGGGTTCCCTCCTTAGAGTTTACCTCTGTAGGGAGGAGTGAAAGTGTAGAGCCTTGGTCAGAATTCCTGTTGGCAACATTATCAGACGTCCCTGCCTATTAATTCTTTTTGCACATCTGCCAAGAAACCACTCAATGGGAGCATTATTCGGAAAATAATAAAGGGAATCAATCAATCTTATGTATGACACAATTTATTACATACTACATAATCAATAGCAGCTGCTACTGAAATATATATGTATTATATATATACATACATATGTATATATAATCTCCCCAAACAGAAAAATACAACCCACCCATCCCACAGTCTGAACAACTGCATCCCATTTCCTGGGAGCAAAGGCCAGCAGGCCCACGTAAAAGGAATTTCATCCCTCCTTAGACATGCACTGATGGAGGTAGAAGGGGCTGATTCCAGGAAAACCATTAGCACATGAGATTTCTATTCAGTGGATAGATTTGGGACTGTCCTGGAAAAGAACCCTGCTCCCTGCAGCCTTCCAGAGGTTGGTTAACTCATCTCACTCAGCACCATGGGTCAGGCTTCTCAGCCCTTTGCATTACCTGCGCCTGATGAGCTCAGCCTGTCAGTCAATTGCTAATGATGTGGGTTCTCCCGTCAGAGGCACAGTGAGAACCCGGCTCTGTGGTTAGCAACAGCACCCACCCTCAACCCTACACCAGGCCAGTCTTCTCAAAAAGTTCACACGGGGGTATTTTTTGGTTCTGAGGGCAGAGAACACAATGTCTCAGGTGGTAGTGAGGCCACAGTTGGCGTTCATGAAAGGAGGCAACTGTCTGACCCGTGACATCCAATCCAATCATAACAAATGCACAGCCAAAGCTGAAAGCCATGATTCAGCCTTCCCTCCAGGGGCACTGGCTCCTGATGAAGTCTCACCAAAACCCAAAGAGAGAGCCTTATCCAGGGAAAGGGTGTTTAACTGAGCCAAGGAACTCAGTGGAAAGTTTTATTTCTTACCATGGCAAAAAAAAAAAAAAAAAAAAAAAAAAAAAAAAAAAGATAGATCATGCTTTTGAAAATAAAAATAACCTGTCACCTCTCCATGGGAGGAGGTGGAATGAGCCAAGGAAGAGACGAGATTAGATAGTAGATAAAGGAGGAGGCTAGAATCCTTCAGGGCTTAAGGCTACAACAGCAAGAATTGCTAAAGCCTGTCCCTGCATAGTGTTGCCTATAGTTTAGGATGCCTCAGAGAATGGGGAGAAAAAAGGACAACTGCAGCCTAAATCTTCCACTCTGAGTAAGTACCAAAAACAACTACCCGAATTAAGGCCATCTGGAACACTTAGTCCAGGTGGTGAAAGCAGAGAGCTAATGAGGCCAACGCTGTGGTTCATACTTATGTAAGGGCCAAGCAAACTCAGACAAAGAAAGCACTGTGCCCCAGCCACAGGCAGAACCCGGCCCACCAGCTGTCTCACAAATCAAACCCGTGGTCACCCAGAGGATGAGAGAGGCACATACAGAGGGAGATGACTCAGTGCTCACTCTGCCTCATTCCAAGAAAAATGCAAAGGAATACCTCCTACTGATATTGGATAAGATGTGCTCTGCAGAGAAGAAGCCTAGTCCACCTGTCCACCCCTGCCTGGTAACAAGATGCAGAAAGGTGAAATAAGTAAACTCCATTTCCTTCAAGCCACAGCTCAAAAGCCACCTTCTCGGAGGCCTGCTCTGAGACCAGAACGGCAGGTGAGACCTACACCTTCTCCCATAGTAACGTGCCCAGCCAACAACATCAGGTACAGAAGAGTGAGCAGTATTTGCTTTCCTAACTTCCCACTCAACTGTGACTCCCCAAGGGAAGGGGCTGTGTTTCTCAATCCTTTCCCCCAGGACCCAAGACAAGCTTGAAAAGACCATCAGTATGGGAACATTGGTATGGATGCTAGACATGGCCTATGCCCTTGAGGATTTTGGAATCTCAAGACCGTCACCTCCATTCTTGAACACCATAAACTGCTCCCAGGAGCAAATGCCAGCAGATGACAGCAGCAGACACCATCTATTGGGCTGTCCTCATGTGCAAGCATAACTCTGAAAAACATTTGATTATCAGACCCTCTCCACAACTCCACGAAGCCAGCAGTGCCATCCTGCTTGCACAACTGTGGAAGCAGCCTTAGAGATATTCAGGAACTTGTTTAAGGTTACACAGCTTGAGAGTGGCCAATGCAGGGATTGACCCTAGTGCTCTCAACCACACCAAATACTGCCTCCCACGAGAGGAGAAGCAAGAACTCAAAGGTACAAGCAAATAAAATGAAGGGACATCTATATCCTAATATAGCTAGATTTCTGCCAATGTCAGGTGCGAAACAGGAGCTGAACGTGGAGGAGGTTTGGAAAGAGGGAGGGGCATCTAATCAGGAACAGGTTATTAATATCAGTCATGCATTCTCAACAAGGGTTGTATCTCCTATAAACGAGGTGGGGTGGGGCAGATTTTGTAGGCTAGACCTAAGGATAGAATGGAAATTAAAATTAGTAATGACTGGGCATGGTGGCTCACGCCTGTTATCCCAGCACTTTGTAAAGCAGAGGTGGGAGGATCGCTTGAAGCTAGGAGTTTGAGACCAGCAAGACTCTATCTCTATTATTTTTTTAATAATTTAACATTTGTAGAAGATTAGTACTATATTTTATCTAAGTTTTAGGTTACTTGTCAGTTATCAGGGGCTAGAAAACCTTACTCCTTATGCATAAAGCACAGACATACGCACAGTACATGAAGAGATATAAACAGGATATCTGTAGTATTAAAATTTCACAGAGGAGAGATGATCAGGGAAAAAAATTATCTAGAAAGGTGCCCTGGGGACAATACTGAAAAAAATTTAAGAAACACTGATCTACAGGAAGCAAACAAGGAGGAACAAGAACAAGGGTGAGAGGCAAAGGAGACCCATCAGAGGAGGCCATGTGGGTCCTGATGTGTATGGCCCAGAGACGTGGGGAGGACAGATGAAAAACACAGTGTCCCCAGGGCAACTCCCACCTTTCCTTCTGCCCATCATTTCATTCTTCCATGTGTTCAGTTAAAAATATATGAAATATCCGGCCAGGTGCAGTAGCTCATGCCTGTAATCCCAGCACTTTGGGATGCTGAAATGGGAGGATCACTTGAGGCCAAGAGTTTAAGACCAGTCTGGGCAATACAGCAAGATCTCGTCTCTACAAAAAGTTTTTAAAATTAGCCAGGTGTGGTGTCACAGCCTGTAGTCCAAGCTACTCGGGAGCTGAGGCAGGAGGATTGCTTGAACCCAGGAGTTGGAGGTTACAGTGAGCCATGATTACACCACTGCACTCCAGCCTGGGCAACACAATGAGATCCTGTCTGTAAAGGGGGGAAAAAAAAATCACATAGCACTGGTGGCTGTAGGGTAGGCCCCTCTTTGGCTTTACTATATAATGTGTTACTAAGTAGTTATACAAATACATATTCAACACCCTTTCTGTATGAGTTCAGGCAGCTAACACTGATATCAGGGGATTTTTGTTTTGTTTTTGCCAAACTAGAAAGCATAGAATGTTATCTTATTGTAGTTTTAAGATGCATTTGTTTGATTACTAATGAATTTAACATTTTTTCATGTTTATTCATCATTTATGTTTCCTTTTCTACAAATTCCTCTTCATATCTTGTACCATTTTTCTATTGAGTGATTTTGTCTTTTTTATGAAATTTATTCCATATGCCAATCCTTTGTCAGTTTGCAAATTACTTCTCCACTAGTGACTTGCCTTTCCACTTTTCTATTGTGTCATTAGATAAAAAGTTTTTAATTTTAGCGTAGTTAAATTTATCAGTGTTTTCCTCTATAATTTGCACTTTTTGTGTCTTGTATAAAAAAATCTCTGTCTGTGCCAACATCAATATTCTATGTCATATTTTCTAAAAGTTTAATACTTTTGATTTTCATTTTAACTCCTTAATTCATCTTGAAAATTACTGTGAGATAAGTATATGTATACTTTCTAGTTTGACAAAAGTAGATCTTGTTTTTATTGCTTTTCAACTTAATTTCCATAATTATTAATCCATAATTAAAAGTCAAAAAACAATAGATATTGGTGTAAATGTGGTAAAAAGGGAACACTTTCACACTACTGGTAGAAGTGTAAATTAGTACAACCACTATAGAAAACAGTATAGGAATTCCTTAAGGAACTAAAAGTAAAACTACCATTTGATCCAGCAATCCCACTACTGGGTATCTACCCAAAGGAAAAGAAGTCATTATATGAAAAAGGCACATGCACTTGCATGTTTATAGCAGCCTAATTTGCAATTGCAAAGATATGAAACCAATCTAAGTGCCCATCAACCAATGAGTGGATAAAGATAATGTGGTATATATACACCATGGAATACTACTCAGTCATAAAGAGGAATGAAATAATGTCTTTTGCAGCAACTTGGTTGGAGCTGGAGGCCATTGTTCTAAGTGAAGTAACTCAGGAATGGAAAACCAAATATCCTATGTTCTCACTTATGAGTAGGAGGTAAGCTATGAAGACGCAAAGGCATAAGAATGTATAATGGACTTTGGGGCTTTGGAGGGAAAGGTTGTGGGGGTGAGGAATAAAAGACTACATATTGGCTACAGTATACATTGCTTGGGTGACAGGTACACTAAAATTTCATAAATCACCACTGAAGAATTTATCCATGTAACCAAAAACCACCTGTACCCCGAAAACTACTGAAAGAAAAAAAATCTCTCCCTACAATAATAGACCTATCTTTATGTTTATGATCACTTTTTGCTTTATATATTTTGAAGCAAATAAACTTAGAGTTTTAATATCTTCCTAATAAGAAACGAATTCTTTATTATTAAACAGCAGCCCTCTTTGTCACTAGTAATGCTCTTTGCTATTAATAAAACTGCACCAGTAGTTTGTCAGAGGGAGAGGGGGTTTAATATTTGCCTGGAATATCTTTTCATACCTTTTACTTTCAAATTATGTGTCCTTCTGTTTTAAGGATATCTAGCTAAGAAGAGCCTCTCTGAGCTCTGTTTTGGTTTTTGTTTTCCTCTATTTCTCTTTCTTTTTTTCATCTAGTCTGACAATCTTCATCTTTTTTGAGAATCCACTTATGTTGATTGCAATGACTGACATATTTAAACTTACTTCAACCATTTCTTTTATGCTTTCTCTTTGTCCCACTTTTCCATGTTTCATCTTTACTTTTAAGGATGAAATGTCTAACCAATGAAGCTCATCATATTTTAAAGGGAGAAAAAAAACTAATACTATCTTATTGATCCTATTTTACAGAGGACAACCGCTGTGGTTTGAATGTTTGTCCCCTCCACAACTGGTGCTGAAATTTAATCCCCAATGTGGCAATATTGTGAGGTACAGCCTTTAAGAGGCAATTGGATCATGAGAGCTCTGCCCTCATTAATGGATTAATTCATTCATCAGTTGTATTAGTCTGTTTACACACTGCTATAAAGAACTACCTGAGACTAGGTAAGTTATGAAGAAGAGGTTTAATTAACTCACACTTCCACAGACTTAACAGGAAGCATGACTGGAAGGCCTCAGGAAACTTACAATCATGCCAGAAGGCAAAGGGGAAGCAAACATATCTTACCGTGGCAGAGCAGAAGAGAGAATGAGCAAAGTGGGGAGTGCTAGACTTTCAAACAACGAGATCTCATAAGAACTCTATCAGGAGAACAATAAGGGGGAAGTCTGCCCCCATGATTCAGTCACCTCCCACCAGGCTCCTCCTGCAAGACGTGGGGATTACAATTTGACATGAGATTTGGGTAGGGACACAGAGCCAAACCATGTCATGAATTAATGAGTTATCACGGGAGTGGGACTGGTGGCTTTATAAGAAGAGGAAAAGAGACCTGAGCTATCATGCTCACCACGTGATCTCCTGCACTGCCTCAGGATTGCCGCGATGTCAGCAAGAAGGCCCTCACCAGATGTGGTGACTTGGACTTCCCAGCCTCCATAACTGTATAAATTCCTTTTCTTCATAAATTACTAAATAAGTTCATTTTCTTTATAAAATTACTCAGTTTTATGACTTCCCAGCCTCCATAACTGTATAAATTCCTTTTCTTCATAAATTACTAAATAAGTTCATTTTCTTTATAAAATTACTCAGTTTTATGTATTCTCTTATAAGCAACAAAAATGCACTAAGACCATAAATGAAGATGCAGTGAAAACCTTTGCTCAGGTTAGAAAGCTAATCGAACCAAGGACCAAACATGAGTAATACAATGTCTAGCACTCTTCCACTATGCAATTAACTTAGTACAATCCTCAAAGTACATCATCTTCCCCTCACAGAGGTAAAGAAAAACAGGTATGAAGCTATTTATTTTACATACGGGAAAACTGAGACTTATGGTAATAAGTCATTTACACATGGATGGGAAAACTTTGTTACGAATTAAAATGTTAAATTTCCAGAAGTTTTGAATTCTTGGGGAAAAAAAAACTAAACAGAAATTTGTGGGAGTAAAGAAAACCATTAATGAGGGCTGAGGTAGATATATTTATTACTAGCTTAGGAACAAAAAAAATTATTATTAGGTCTGCTCACAAAGTTAAATGAAATTTTAAAATATACTCAGATCTGACAACATCTAATATTTTGGATTTTGCCAGTTCAGCAGCCACTTGAGTACAAAAAAAAAATCAGTATCATATTCAAGAAGAAGTTAATATGCTGTCGGGATTTCCTATCTTCCAGGGTGAGGAGCAAGCCCAGGAAACGCCAATTTTCAGGAAAGAGTCAGAAACTGGCCCAAGTTAGGTGCGCATCTCTAACCACAGGACATCCTATTTCTGCATCTCACTTTCTGGTCTCAATCTCCAGAGGTTTCTGTTTCTCTTCTACTTCAGTTTTATCACCTGCGGGAACCTCTGAGAATCAAAACATTTTTCCTAGGTTGACTTCCAAATCAGGTTTTGGTTGTGTCTTGCTTTTATTCGGTAAATTTCCAAGCACAGACTTTTTCCTCCATCAGGAATCTATAGCAAGCAAGAAGTATTTATCAGAGGCCTCTGGGCAATACCCTGGCCCCCAGGTGACAGAAAGATCCTCCTGGCAGTATATCAGGTCCCTTGGTAGCTAGACCTGTGAAGAGGGTCTCAATCCTGCCTCACATAAAAGTAGTTTTCAAATAACCACTTTGAAGAATCTCTCATCCTCTAAGCCAGCCCAAGGCAAGAGCAAAATGCTACTGGACTTCCCATCTAAAACAGTGACAGCAGCATAAACTACTTGACTTTAAAATTATTCCCACTTCTTAAGTAAATCATCAACTTTCTTCTGAATTTGCAAGTGAACTCATCCAGATTCTCAACCACAGGCAACTTTTTGATCATTTGATTAGAAGTGATCTTAAAGACCACCACCACCCTCCATGGTTAGTTTTACACTACAACCTTTATATTCAATGCCTGAAAATAAGTTGGAGAAAGCAAGTGCAGGATATGAACTATGAACTTTTATCTTAAATGTTATATTGATTGTTAACAACTTTATCATT
Organism: Homo sapiens; assembly: GCF_000001405.40. NCBI lineage: Eukaryota > Metazoa > Chordata > Mammalia > Primates > Hominidae > Homo > Homo sapiens. The sequence goes on along the minus strand of NC_000001.11, from coordinate 210,387,695 downwards.
TTTTCCAGGCTCCCAGTGCTAATATCCAAGTCTTCCGATTCCTAGCTTGGACTCTTTCTTCACAAGAAGCAAAGGAAAAACACACTTAAAAGGTAACAACACATATAATCATACCTTTCTTGCCAGCAGTGTGGCCATTTGAGACACTACCATGTGGCCAAGGAGAAGCCACACCAGCCACTGCTTCCCCCATTCCATCCAGAAGCTCCACTCAAAGTCGGTCGCATCCTAAATAGGACAAAATAGTTTATCAGAGGGATTTCAGTACACGTCTGAGTCAGAACACAAACTCCAGTTAATAAAACTGGAAAGAAGGCCAGTGTGAGTCCAAACTCTGTAAAAGAGGATTTACACACTTCTAGCCTTTCCCCACCCACCTGTACACTCCCCTCCAGCTTGCTATTAGTAATGGCAAAAACTGCAATTACTTTTGCACCAACCTAACCGGAATGATTGCCATTGCCATTCCCCAAATGCACCTCGGACTTTCTACAACTCAGTGTCTTTGTTACAGCTGATCTCCCAGGGCCCTCTGTAGTATAGATGCTATTATTATTTCCATTTTGCAAAACATGAAACAGAGACGTAAGGAACTCAATTCATTTACCCAAGTTCACAGGGATAGTACAAGTAATGAATTGAGGCTATCCCAGTTTAGACAACTAGATATTTTCACTGAGAAATGTAAACTGGACACTAATAAAATGGCTTAAAGTCAGTTATTCTGAGTCTTGTTGCCATTTACAGACAGAATAATTTGTCAGAGAAATTAACTAAGTTCATATAAATTTATAATGAAGGAATGAAAGGTACACTTCCCTTCCCCCCAAGAAGCTCTGTGTCCATGTGGCATTCTGTGTCTGCATCAGTACCAGGTTCCACATCTATGAAGCTCCCCAGGAGGAGAAGGTAGAAACCTCTGACAACAGTGGACATGTGGACGCTTAGGAACCAGCACCTCAAAGTCATGGCCTCAGGAGCCCCAGAAAGGACCACGGAGGCCAAGAGGAGCGTGGAGAGATGCACACTGTCATCGGTCACCCTGAAACAGGCAATGCAGGCTTGGCCAGTGAACAGTTCAGCACTACCAGGATGGAGGGGGATTTGAGGTCTCAGAATTTTCTAAGCAAAATGTGTGCCTGGAAAAGGACTCCTGCAGGCCGGGCGCGGTGGCTCACGCCTGTAATCCCAGCACTTTGGGAGGCCGAGGCGGGCGGATCACGAGGTCAGGAGATCGAGACCATCCCGGCTAAAACGGTGAAACCCCGTCTCTACTAAAAATACAAAAAATTAGCCGGGCGTAGTGGCGGGCGCCTGTAGTCCCAGCTACTTGGGAGGCTGAGGCAGGAGAATGGCGTGAACCCGGGAGGCGGAGCTTGCAGTGAGCCGAAATCCCGCCACTGCACTCCAGCCTGGGCGACAGAGCGAGACTCTGTCTCAAAAAAAAAAAAAAAAAAAAAAAAAAGAAAAAAAGAAAAGGACTCCTGCAATGACCACTGATATTGAACTCCTCACCAATCTCTGCAAGTGGAACTTGAAGCCTCTCTTAATTGGATTTGAAGAAAAGTGTGATTTTTTTGGTGTACCTAAGATTGTGGGGTAATGTCATACCAGTTGCACACAAATAAAACTCTTTTTTGCAGAAGGTAAGATACATATAAAATTGATCTTGATTCATAACAGACTATGAGTGCAAGGTAGCTAAGACTGGAGGCTTGTTTTGGGTCCAGAGCCCAGATCTACTCACACACTTGCTGTGATGACCTTGAACATGATTCTTAACCTTTCTGTTCTGTTTCTTCATATGACAATAGTACTTACCTTACAGGGATTTTTGAGGCTTAAATAAGAGCATATGTACATTAAAAGTTTGTAGCAGCACACAGTGCTATTAAACAGCAGTACCCGCTACTAACTGCTAGACCCATGTGCTTCCCATCCCTTGTAAACCACCAGCCAAGACCGTATCATGCTTTACTTTGTGCCACTCATTTTAAAAAAGTTTTCCCATTTCTTCAAATAAGGAAATACAATACTGCGCATTCTCAGATTACACATGCTCCCCACACCCCAGATCCTGATACATGACCTGCTCATAAAGCCCCTGTCCCTTGCTGGAAATCATGTATGTAGTTGAATTGCTTCCATTTAGAGATGACTACACCAGAGTCTGGGACATGCCCACAAACACACAGCCAGGCAGCACAGCAGAGAACTCAAAGCTTTAACCTGGCTCCTGATCCCTGATCCACAGCTTATTTCCCCATCTAGAGATTTCCAAATTAGCCAAGAGTCAATTAACTAAACAAATGTAAATAAGTTCAAAGGTCATGTGATGAGGCCATGCTAGTAAAATACCACTTTTATAACAGGGATACAGCTAAAAGACACAAAAGCCAAGACACTTTTTTAATACAAACTCAAAAAGAAAAAAAAAAAAAAAGAAAAACATATGAGCTTTTTAAATACAACATTTTTGAACACTTAGAATTACATTTAGAATTCATGACCCCAAGCTTACCTATGCCTCGAAACTTCTCCAAGTTTAATTTTTTAGGGTGGAAAAAAGGATATAATACAACAAAACATATAAGACTTTCTGTTCCACCAGAAAGTCCAGGACTCCTGAAAACTCTGCTGGTAAAATCCCATCAACAAAAATTACACATGGCCTTTCACCTCTAATTATCACAGAAAACATTCATTTAAAGGAAATAAAAATGTCTCTCTCATGTCTATTCTTCCCTATTTAAAAAAGTTACCTAAGGGAAATGACCAAACAGAAAAGCTGGGCCAATGAATAGGTCAAGATGATGTTTAATGATTTGGGTAAGAAAAATATTGACTCACTGCTTCTTGAAGCAAAAGCTTTATAGACTCTGAGCTCAGTCACACATTTCAAGGCAAACATGAAAGCCTGAAATCAGGAACAACATCATGATCTGTCCCTTCCCCCATTTTCTTTCTTGCCTCCATGGTTATTAGTCAATTAGGAACCTCTTCTTTGGCACTCTAAGGGGGTCAGATATAAACTGGAGCTAAATCTCAGCCAGGCAGAACTAGGCAGGCTTCTCCATGGAAGCAGGGAGGCTGTACTCCAAGGAGAAGTCACCCACATCCAACCTCAAAGTGGACACAAGCCACCTATGCATCTTGCTAAAATGCAGATTCTGATGCAGTCAATCAAGGGTGGGGCCTGGGATTCTATATTTCTAACAAGCTTCCAGGTGATGTGATACTACCAGCCTGGGGACCAATCTACATGACTGATTATGCCTTCCTACAGCTGAATGTTCATAAACTCACAGAATCCTTAACAGCTCAGCCCGCCCCGTACCATTCCCAGGCAGGGAGGGCACATACTCCGAAGCTGCTACCTAACACTCACCAACAGAGCAGTCATCCTCCCGTTCACCGTTCAAAGCTCTGGGCACCCAGACTTCGGAATTCACTGAACAAGTTAACAAATGTGGTTGTTTATTCTGAGGCTTACATTCTGCTACCAGGTAATACTAAGGACTCTGAGAGACATGATTGTTCTGGGTTTCTTAAATAGTAACTCTAACGTCCTAGCAAAACACTTTTTCCTTTCTTAACAAAGGAAAGGGTCTGGGCCTAGTGTTTGTAACTGCCTCTTTTCCTACCCACAGCAGAGTTCTGCTCTAGGCACCATGAGGAGCTCAAAGTCTAAATAGGAAGACCCCCAGCACCAAGACCACCACACCCCACAATGAAGACACACCAAAAACCCACTGCAGAATGAGAGGGGTAACAGTGCTGCAACTCAACTTCATATGTCAGTGAAACTGACAGACCTGTCCTTTCTTCCCAGTCACTGATGAACACTCGAGTATGTGTTTTCTAATTACAGCCTCATAACAATCTTTAAAGTAGCTCAATTTGTTTAACAGACCTTATCTTTTAGAGAGTTTTCAGTTCACAGAAGAATTAAGCACAATGTACAGAGAATTCCCATAGACCCCTTAACCCCTCTCCATCAGCATCTCCCACCACAGTAATATATTTGTTCCAACTGGTGAACCTACATTGATACCCCAAAGTCCATGGTTTATATTCGGGTTCACTCTTGATGTTGCATATTCTATGGGTTTGGACAGATGTATAAAAACACATATCCACCATTATCATATCATATGAAATAGTTTCACTGCCCTAAAAATCCTCTGTACTCTACCTCTTCATCCCTCCCACCCTGGCCCTGCTCCCCTCAATCCCTGGCAAACAATGATCTTTTTACTGTCTCCATATTTTACTTTTTCCAGGATGTCATGTAGCTGAAATAAATAAGTTTTGGGTTTTTTTCTTTTTATTTCGTCAGTGATTTGAAGCTCTTTTTTGAGACAGTCTCGCTCTGCTGCCCAGGCCGGAGTGCAATAGCACAACCTCGGCTCACTGCAATCTCTGCCTCCCAGGCTCAAGTGATTCTCGTGCCTCAGCCTCCCAAGTAGCTGGGACTACAGGTGCATACCACCACACCTGGCTAATTTTTGTAGTTTTAGTAGATACGGGGTTTCACCACATTGTCCAGGCTGGTCTCGAACTCCTGACCTCAAGAGATCCACCAGCCTCAGCCTCCCAAAGTGCTGGGATTACAGGCATAAGCCACCGTGCCCGGCCTGAAGCTCACTTTTTCTTTTTTCTTTTTTGAGTAGTTCTGTCTAACTCCGTGTTACAAATGAGTTAACTGGAGGTCAGAGAAAGCAGATTATTTATCCAAACCTAGTAAGGGGCAGAGCCGGGTTTCAAACCTAGGCCTGTCTGAAGCCAAGGAGGAAACCCTTTTCTGAGATGTTTCTACTCATGCTTGTCCCTGTACCTGGACTTTCTGCCCTTCCCACCCCTTTGCCCCACAACACTATTTGACTAGGCAATCTCCAACCTAGAGTGCACCTCATTTATGCCCCGTAACCACAAAGCCAGCCCAGTGACATGCACAAAATACTCACTAAATGGTACAATTCAAATGTCAGCTCCAGAGTGAAGCTTTCCCATACCTACCTCCCCAGGTGGACCTCATTGCACTCCCTTCTCCGTCATCCACATCTCAATTCTAGAACTTTTATTATGGCATATTTATTATATCACTTTTATTCCTGTATTTTCTCTCTGGAGGGAAAAATGGATCTCTCTGAGAGCAAGAACCTTGACTTAAATCTGTCTCCTAGATGCCCAACATTCAGCAAGCCTTTAAAATGGCGAGGAGCAGGAACGGAGCCAAAAAATCAGCCTATCTAGTACTTGTCACATTTCTCCCTCTGTTTAAACTTGGAAAAGTCACTTAACTATCTGGGATTGAATTTCCTTGTGTGTAAAATGAAGGGCTCCACTAGCACAATGTCTAAGATTCCTTTCAGAAAATGGGAAAGACAATTATTTTCTAGGCTAAAGGAAAGAAATACTAAGAAAGTGCTTGTCACCCACCCGTGGAGAAGGGGTCGTCCCCTCTTCTCACACCCCTATGTCACTAGGGAAGAAAGTTACAAGAAAAAATTCCTGGCAAATGAGGACTTGCCCTAGCAACTCACCACTGAGTAAATCTTTCCTCCTTCTAGCCTTGAATTCTCATCGCCCTTAAACCTTGCCAGATCACAACTCACTCTCAGCCTCTTAGCTGGAGTACTGTGTTGTTATCACAAGAGATGGCTAAAATTCTGGTTCTGTGCTTTCTCTTGCATTCCCCAGAAAACTGAGGACTATTCTCCAGCTGAAAACAACACAAACGCATAGCTAATAAGGCCTGGTCAATAGACTAAAATGTAAAGTACCAAGCCAAGTGCCAAGGCACTCACCGAGACGCCCTAAGTGAATGAGAGAAATTCACCCTGTAGCCACATCAGTTAGCTCAGTCCACCAGTTCTTCAACCCAGATCCCTGGTCCCACTGTTTTTGGAGTCTTTTTGGATTTTTTTTGTAATCAGTCCATGACCTGCTGAATAGTTCCACTGTTTATCTCCTAGTGAGATGGGTCAGGAGCACTGTTTTATTATGTCTATGGATGGTATTTGCAGATAGTTTGCTATCAGCTCAGAAGTTTACATCTACAAATGAAGCAGAGTCTAAGAAAGGCCATGGGTAAGCCTTAAAAATGATTTGAGGCCGGGTGCAGTAGCTCATGCCTGTAATCCCAGCACTTTGGAAAGCTAAGGTGGGTGGATAGCTTGAGGCCAGGAGCTCGAGACCAGCCTGGCCAACATGGTGAAACCCCATCTCTACTAAAAATACAAATATTAGCTGGGAGTGCTGGCGCATACTTACAATCTCAGCTACTCGGGAGGCTGAGACATGAAAATCACTTGAACCTGGGAGGTGGAGGTTGCAGTGAACTGAGATCATGTCACTGCACTCCAACCTAGGTAACAGAGCAAGACTCTGTCTCAGAAAAATAAAAGTAAAAAATTTTTTTAAATGACCCACTGCATAATCATTCAAATCTTTCAATAAATTTTATTAAGCATCTAGTATATGCTGCTTCATATAGTCAATCACAGCATATCAATTAGGCTTTGTTATCCAGGAAAGTCTTGGAGTTACTGCAAAATCGTTTTCCTCCCCGTACTATATGCTAGACCTACTTCAATTCCGCAGACTGTGCTCTACTCACTTCTACCCATTTAGCCTTATTCCTTCCATTCCATGCTCCCTACACAGCACCAAAGTAATATTTTTAAGAGCATATTTGATCATGTTATTTCCCCCACTTAATATTCTTCATGTGCTCCCCTTAGCATTCCAGAGAAACTTCTCAGTGAGACTCATGCAGTTCTTCATAAAATGGCCCTGTCCCCCTGTCCACCCTTCCATCGTCGTACCTAACCTTCACTGCCCCCACCATCCCACATTACAACTGCATTGACCCCTCTGACCCCACAGCACCACATTCATGCAGCTGGGCCTCCCACACTTTGCTCCCTCTATTTGGAAAAACCATCACTGAAGCATCATGTGAATGAGGACATATCTTTCAGGTCTCAGCTCAGGCAAGCCTTCTCCCAGGAAGCCTTTAGTAGTCCATCCATTCAGCCTGGACTCGGTGTCCCTTGCCTATGCTCCCACAATATGCCACTACGGTTACCTGTAACAAAGCAACTTATCCCATTGTGCTTTTTAAAATTTTATTTTATTTTATTTATTTTTTGCGACAGAGTCTTGCTCTGTCGCCCAGGCTGGAGTGCAGTGGCATGATCTCGGCTCACTGCAACCTCCGCCTCCTGAGTTCAAGTGATTCTCCTGCTTCAGCTCCCAAGAAGTTGGAATTACAGGTGCACACTGCCATGCCCAACTAATTTTTGTATTTTTAGTAGAGACAGGGTTTCACCACGTTGGCCAGGCTAATCTTGAACTCCTGACTGCAAGTGATCCACCCTCCTCAGCCTCCCAAAGTGCTGGGATTATAGGCGTGAGCCACCAGACCCAGTCCCCACTGTGCTTTAATTACAGGTTACTGAGCTGTCTCTCCACTAGACTGTGAGCTCCTTTCCGACAGGGTCTACATATAGATTAAGCATTGTATTCTTCAATAAACAGAATATATTAGATACTCAATAAAAATTTGAAAAATTTGAATGATTATACAATGAGTCAAACTATTTTTAGGAACCTGGTATCAGCACAGTCTACTGGGAAAGAGGGAGAAGAGATACCAAAAGTGGAGCATCCGGTATCTGCCCTAGAATGCCTTTATAACCCCAGGTAGGGAGAAAATATAAGCTCACAGAATAGTTCCAGTGGATGATCTTCTCTGCAAATTATCCTGACCAACTCAAGGCCCACTCTCCGAAAAATCAATTACTGACTCTCAAGCCATGGCCAAAGTACAGTAGTATTACAATAGAGGACCCATTTCATATTTATAAGAAACACATAAACTAAAGTATGGAGAACACTTGGAATACAGCCAGGAATGTATGAAGTATTATGTCCTTGTTTGTTCAGTAAATATGTAAATAAACGAACAAACAACAAACTCGATTTTACTTTGATAGGCCCAGAAACACAACTCCAGGAGTTTTCAAGCTGCATATCCTGAAACAGTTAGAAGCACTCATAGTTAAAATATAAGAATTCAGCTGTTCAAGATCCCAAACCCAGTCCAAAAGAAGGAAAGAAGAAAGTTCTAGAGACTGTGGACTGAAAAGAAGTGAGCCCACGGTTAACAAAAAGGAACTTCAGCATTCAGGAAAGCAACCATCTTAACCTTTTCCTAAGAAGAAAATATCTGCTTGTACAGCAGGTACTGCCGATTAACTCAACCATGACTATTTACTCCTCTCTAGCATGACTTCCTACACATTACAGGTTAGAAGGTTGAAAACTAAATATCCCAGAATTCCCTGTAGCTGGCAGGTCTAAAAATGGCTGAGCTTCTCATGAACAAATACAAACACTATGACTCTCAGAGTAAAGAAACAATGTATGGTCTGTGAGACTTCTGAAGAAAATGGTGGCAGAGACCCTTTGGCTGTTCTGCAGCAGCCATGCTGGAGATTCTGGGGTCCAGTCAGTTCAGAGATGCTGAAGCTGTCAGATGTGGCACCAGAGCCCTAGGTTCTCAAGCAAGGAGCTATGTGGCAGCAGATGTTGTGTACAGTGGCTCTTGGAACTGTTTCTGGTAGCTCACTTAGTGCCTGCTCCTACAGGTTTTTCTATTATTCTCAAATGTCTTTAAATCCCTGCAATAATTCTCTTTTTAAAATAACTGCAATAGATTCTGCTGTCTGCAATGGAACCATGACTAACATACTACGGAAGAAATGTCTCCTCTGATTGGAATCCAGCTCCAGCTTTATAACAAAAGCATTATGAAAACAGTTCACTTTGAAGAACACTAGTCTGAAATAAGTCTATTCAATGGAGGAAAATGAAATGGAAGAAAACACCAGCTAGGTCAACCCAATGAATGCTCAAGAACTAGGTAATGATGGCAGTGACTGTTTGTTAGAATACAGTCACAAATGCATTTATGTATTTCAAAACCAAAAGATATGTAATGTTCTCTATACAAAAAAAAAAGATAAATGTTTCAGGTGATGGATATCCCAATTACTTTTATTTAATCATTACACACTGTATAGAGGTATCAAAGTATCACATGTACTCCAAAAATTTATACAACTATTGTATATCAATTTTTAAAGAAAAACAAGGAAATGACCTACCTTACCAACCAGTTTATATTTTTCATTATTATACCTCTTTTTCCTTCAGAGAAAACAGTATAGAGCTGAATATATTTACTATTTTCCTTATCCTTATATCTAGCAAGTTGTAAAAATAAAATACTACAGAAATACTATACATGTTTCTGTACCTATTTCCTAAATAGCATTATTTGCTTATTGTTTACTTTGAGACCATATATAATTTCTAATTACACTGAGTAAGACTTATCCAAGATCAGGGAAAACCTTTATAAGGTTCTTGAAATCATAAATGTTTCCCTGCACATTCAAAGGCAGCAAACTGACCTTAATGGCCCGTAAATCTCCAGACAAGAAACACAAAAGGAGACTAATTTTGTAAGAATTCTGCACAAAAGAGGCACTGCTCTCCGAATGAACTCAGGCTAATGATTCATTGAGCAATTATTGGAAGAGTTTTCTTTTTCCTTCAACAGCTGCTTTTCTATTTCTAAAAGAATTTGAACTAAATCATTTTACTGCTTACAATTTCCAGAGACAACACTCTCTCTCAATCAATACTTTCTTAAAGATAAAATGCTTCCACTAATAAAACCTTTTTTTCTGTAAATAACAAAGTCCCTACTGAAACATCTTCACCCTCCTGCATAGGTGAAGTTGCTTGCAAGGGCAGGGATGCTGCCAACAGGACAGGCACAGGCTGCCCTGTTCTACTGTGTACCATTCCCAGCCTCTTCATTGCCCCTCGCCACAGAAGCCAGGCAAATTGGTCCAGTGTAAAATGGTAAAGGGGAGGTGTTTTGTGGGAGAAGAAAAGAGAAAGCCTCTTAAGAGGGTTTAATTACATCAAGAGGACCTAATTAACATGGGTAAGTTATTTTGCGTATCTTCAGCCCAACTGCCAACCTAAACTCAGTAACATCCTCTGGTCACAACTCTACCTACTGACCTGTTTCTCAGAAGTCACTTTGGATTATGCAGGAGAGCAAGACTGCAGAGTCTATTCGGTTTAACTTGAATAGATTCTGTCTCCCTGCTCTGTCTATGCCATATTCCCACCTTTCCTTTCCTCCTAAAGCCAGCAAAGAAGGAATCAAATGCTTAAAAAGAAATATTAAGTTTCAGGGTGAAGTTGAAGGCACAAAACTGTATTATTTTCCCCACATCTCTCAAATTGGAAAAACACTATTTTCTACACAGCATATGGAAAAAAGAGCTATAAACAATGAAAAAAGGTGATAAACAAATTGGAGATGATGAAAAAAATGTAATAGAATGAGATGACTAGAGAACAAATTACACAGAATCATGATTCCTCAGCTTCAAACTATGCTAATAAATCACACATACCATTAGTGTCACTTTCCCAGAATATCAAAAAGACAAAGTGAGTCACAATAACGTGGAAGGAAAAAAGATCCCCAGCCTGTTGGGGGCCACAGCCCCTAAAATGATCCTCACACTCAAAGAACTTACTTTATACTTAGGAAGTCTTCACATATGCAAGAAAGCTGATTTGTACAGAACATCTCTGCAGTGGGCAGACATAGCAAACTGGAACTCCACATGGAGTCCCAAAATGTTGGAGGCCCCCAGGGCAGAAGGCCAATTAAAGAAAGTGTGATCTCAGAGAGAAAAAGGGAGAACTAACATTTTTGCCATCTATCTAGGGGAAGAAGAAGGGAACCCTCCATAATCCCAGCTACCACCTTTCTACTTTACACACTGCCTGAAAGACCAGGGAAACAGGTGAGCAGAACTATGCTGGAGTTCTCCCATACATCTTTACATCTGTCCCCTTTGCCCATTAGCTGCCCAAGCTGTCCAAGAGACACCTCCCCACCCAGCGCACCCCTGAACCCACCAGCCGTCACAGGCAGCCCAGGGGCCTGGGAGACTGGGAATAGAGACAGAGAAGAACGAGACCAAGGCTCACCACATCCTCAGGGCACACTGCCCCATCCTTCCCCCACAGTCCATTACTTCCACCATCTTTCTTCAGAAATCTATTTGCGTATTAATAAAATAACTCATTTATGATGCCTAAGACTTACTTTAAAACACAAGCTACAACACAGAGACGTCTGCTTTCAGACAAGATATAGTACACACATTTATCCCTATCCCTCCACTAACGACAGCTAAAACCCTTGGATGTAACATATAAAACGAATGTAAGGGGATTGTGAATGGTGAAAAGAGCAGACTGGCTAGAGAGCTCAGGGCCTAAGGAACGACAATAAGCAAAACAAAATTAAGTATTAAGTAAATGTTGATATAAATATTAACATTTACATTAATGCATTATACTTAATATATAACTTACTAGATGGGCTTAATAGCAAAAGTAGATTACATAAGAAAGAATTATTGAGCCAGGCGTGGTGGCTCATGCCTGTAATCCCAGAACTTTGGGAGGCCGAGGCAGGTGGATCACTTGAGGCCAGGAGTTCCAGACCAGCCTGGCCGATATGGCAAAACCCCCTATCTAGTAAAAATACAAAAAAAAAAAAAAAAAAAAAATTAGCTGTGCATGGTGGCACATGCCTGTAATCCCAGCTTCTTGGGAGGGTTAGAAGAATCATTTGAACCCGGGAGGCAGAGATTGCAGTGAGCCAAGATTGTGCCACTGCACTCCAGCCTGGATGACAGAGTGAGATTTTTTTTTTTTTTTAATTATTGAACCTAAGGATAGGTCAATAAAAATCACCCAATCTGAACAAGAGAGAGAAAACTGACTGAAAAAATACAGCCTCAGAGACCCTTGATATAAGAACAAAAGATCTGACATTGGTGTCATTAAATTTTCCAGAAGGAAAGAAGAAAAAATATGAGGTTAAAAATACGTTCAAAGAAATAATGGCAAAAAAAAAAGATCTCCAAATTTGGCAAAAAGCATAAACCTACAAATTCAAGAAGCTGAATAAACCCCAATCAAATTAAATACAGCAATTAAAAGACAGAGCTTGGCAGAATGGATTGCTAGAAAAAAGACCCAACTCTGGACTGTCCACAGGAATTCACTTTAAATATAATGAAATGGGGAGGTGGAAAGTTAAAAGATGAAAAAGGATATGGCATACATACATGAATCAAAAGAAAGTGGGAGTGGCTCTACCAATGGCAGATAAAGTAGACTTCAGAGAAAGAAAATCACCAGGGTCAAAAAGGGTCATTGCAGAATGATAAAAATATCTTCTCACCAATAAGATATAAGAATCCTAAATGTGTGTGTGTATATACACATACACACATACATATATATTTAAAAGCATTGTGGTTTTTCAGGGATTAGAGATGAAGAGGAGGAGGGTGAGTATGGCCATCAAAGAGGCAGCACAGAGTAGCTCTTCAAGGTTCTGTATCTTTGTCATGTTGGTGTTTACATGAATCTACACATGTGATAAAACCACATATAACTATATACATATACACAAGTAAGTGCTTGCAAAACAGGTGAAATCTGATTAAAGTCTGTGGGTTGTACTAATGTCAAGTTCCTGGGTTTGAGTTCACTATGGAAGATTCCCCACTGGGGAGCTAACCATCAGGTTCTCCTGTTAGCAACAACAGACACCAGGAACTGCTGGGGGGTGGCAGGGAGGACTGGTAAGGCCTGAAAAACTAACTACTGGGTACTGTGCTCAGTACCTGGGTGACAAGATCATTCATACCCTCAACCTCAGCGTCACACAATATACCCAGGTAATAAACTTGCACATGTACCCCTGGAATCTAAAATTAAAAGTAAGGGATTAAAAAAAAAAAAAAAAAGATTCCCCACTGGGGAAGCTCGGTAGAGGTACACAAGGCCTCTCTGTACTACTGCTGCAACTTCCTGTAAATGTGTAATTGTTTCAAAATAAGATGATGCTAAAGATAACAAATCGTACTCCAAGTCCCATTATACAAAAAGGGCTAAAACGAGTTTCCATGGTTAACCCAGGATGGGATTTAGAACTCAGCTAGCATGGCCTCTACTTCGCCCCCTAGTGGTAGCACCAAAGGCACCCGGTGAATAACAAGGTGTGGAATCTCAAGGTGATGACTCAACATCTCATTTGCATACCCATAGTACCCTGCACATAGTAAATTATTTAAAGCTTAAAAGAATATTTCTTTTGACTCAACATTTCTAACTATGGGAAGATTAAAGAATTCTTTTTGTGCAAACTGTAGGCAGTAATTCTTTTTGTGCGAACTGTAGGCACCATCGGCGTACTAGGAGTTGCGGTTACTGCAACAATGAGTTGAACTAATTTGTAGCATTACACTGGTTTCTCTTCAGATCGAATAAATCTTTCGCCTTTTACTAAAGATTTCCGTGGAGAGAAACAAATCAGTTATAAGCTAATTTTTTGTAAGCCTTGCCCTGGGGAGGCAGATCATGTTTTATAAAAAAAGACTTAAAGAGGAAAACATTATGGTGCAACTTTAGGCTTAAGTGATTCATTGTCACTGTTTGTTTAAACATTGTGTAACAGAACTTGCAAAGACAGTTAACTCTTGTTTTCCATGTCAAAGGTCTGAATACTTGCATGATAAAAGTCTGTGTAACTTTCCCTGGTGACATCTGACTTGCTAATTAGCAACATTAACATTGGAGACACAGACTGGCTTAGACAATTTGGAGACTCCCCCTTAAGTGATGGCCTTTAAGATCCTAAACTCAGCCACATAGTTGGGAGAATTTCTGGTTGCCTGTCTGCAAAAAAGCCCCAAATCCATCCTTCTCTAGATAACATTCTATTATCTATCTACCTAGTAACAAATTCAATGCAAGGTGGTGATGCAAGCTCCTTAAAGGACTCCATCAATTCCACTGATCAGCTTGGTGTAAACTGGTTTCCACTGCTTGCCTAGTAAGTGTTTAATAAACGTACACATGCCAGATAGAATTTGACCTGAGCTTTGCTTTCATTAAACCTGGGAGCAAAATCATGATGGAATAACAAACCTTCATCCATCTCGAACTTTTCGGCAGCTATTGTCATCCCTGAAAGTAGCATCAGTCAGTTCCCCACACAAAGACACCCCACTTTACATCTTCTCCCACGTGCCCCTGTGATCTCGCTCTTACCTTGCTGCTGCTGCTTAATTTCTTTTTAACAAAGGCTTATCAACTGTCATGTCATGATTTTAAAAGGTAATAACCTTTTTAAGAATGCTGACAGGCACCACTTTTAGGAAATGTACTGAGAGAAGGAAATGTTTTCCCTCCTTCCCACTTCCCCATACCTCCCCCCAAATTTCAGATCCCGCCACTATTCAACCTGCCCTAGGCTGGAATAATCCCGTCCCCCTTTCTCTCTGAGTCTTGTTATGGCACTTATATAAGTCTGAATCATGTTACAGCACTTCCATGTTTGTGTGTAAATTAACTTTAATCCACCTCTAAGGACAGTTCTTAACATTGAAAGTATCCAAATGAGGAGTCCACAAAGAGTGAGTTAGCATTTGAAGGATTCTAATCAGAAATCTACTCCCAGACATGACTACAATTCAAATAATTCCAACATGGTACCTAAAGCTGCACCTGAAAGTTTACTAGCATAAGGAATGTTAGAAATAAATATTTTAGTAATGAAAAGCATGGTGCTCAATATGTGATGGATTAAAATTTTTCTCAGGCTCTGATACCCTTGTAATAATGAAGCATGTATGTAAGAATCCCTTGAGGCCAGGTACAGTGGCTCACGCCTGTAATCCCAACACTTTGGGAGGCTGAGCCAGAAGGATCACAAAAAAAAAAAAAAACACCTCCCTTGAGCCCAGCACCCAAAGCACTGAAAGTCTAACACTCTCTTGGTCTGTGTCCTTTGCTTTAATAAGGCTCTATCCTCTAATCAGACTAGAAGGGTAACTGCTTCAGCCAGCAGAATAGAATTGCACCAGCCTCAGAAGGAACTTCCGTGCAAGATGCTTGTTGGAGTACCTAAAGACAGACAATAGAGGCTTCACAAGCTTTCAGGAACAAGTTCAATGATGGTTTTGTACTTCCCTACCTAATGAATGTTTGTACTTGTAGGAGAATTCAGTTAGACACCTTCACTGTTTAACATACCACTTGGTGGCAAGGTTGTGGGAGAGAAGACATTTAACTCCTGTCCATCTCCAAGTGACAGAAGTTACCAAGAGTAAAACCAAAGAACTTTATTTTTGTTAAACAACAAAATAGGCTTGGGTCAGTTCAAAACATAGTACTTCTATTCAAGACTCAGCTCCAATCCACCTATTCCAGAGAGTCTTCTCTGATCATTCCAAGGCTAGAAACTCTCCCAGCAATTTTTGGCTACACCGACTAGGGACAATCATACATATGGAAAACACTTTGTTAAATGGCATGCCAGGGCCAGCTTTCAGGCAGGACCCACGAGCAGGGCCAATTGTCCTGGCTGTGTACAGCTCTGGCCCTTGTTAAATACTTCACACATCAGCCATATTAAAGCTAGGGGTGTCCTCCTGGAATTCTCAAATAGAGTATAAACTTGTTGAGTAGAGAAATAATGCCTCTTAATTCCTTAACCCACAGCATTATCACAACCCAGATCAGAAAGCAGGCAGTAAGCACTGACTTGTAAGCTGACTGGTTTGTGACTGAGAAATTTCTCACCATTCTCAACAGTGGGAATGTCTTCATCTTTGCATCGAACTCCCTCAAACATTAGTAGACTCTTGATAATGTTTGCTGAATTGAGGTGAATATGCCCACTGGGGTTGGGGACTTCTTATAAAGGAACATTGATCTCTTGGCAACGTTTGCTTTGTTTCATGTGTGTAAACTCTGGTGAGTTTACAGAGGTTAGGCCTTAACTCATTTTCATTAAGCCGCAGCCCCTCAAAGATTATTCCAGCATGTCTGTCATCTCTCTGCTTCCCTCCATCTGATGGGAGCAGATTAATAAGTGATTTGGCTGTGTGCGTGAATGTTCAGCCTGTCTTACCAGAAAACTGGATTTTATACAGTTTTTCCCCTTCCCAGAGAGGCTTGCTTAGCAGAGACAGATTCCTGTGTTCCATGCCAGCCCCTCCAAAGAATGTGGGTTGAAGAGTCTCCAAAATGTCAGGGGCAAGAAACCCATGGATTAGGCCAGGCAGGGTGGCTCACACCTGTAATCCCAGCACTTTGGGAGGCCAAGGCAGGTGGATCACTTGAGGACAGGAGTTTGAGGCCAGCCTAGCCAGCATGTTGAAAACCTGTCTCTACTAAAAATACAAAAAGTTAGCCAAGTATGATGGCACATGCCTGTAGGCCCTGCTTGGGAGGCTGAGGCACGAGAATCGCTTGAACTTGGGAGGCAGAGGTTACAGTGAACCATGGTTGTGCCACTGCACTCTAACACAGGCAATAGAGTGAGACTCTGTCTCAAAAAAATAAATAAGAAAAAAAAGAAACCCATGATTGGTGATGGAAGGTCAGGTTTGCTTCCTTCTTGTGAACACAAAGAATGCCGGCTCTTTACCCATCAGTACATGACCTTTTGTCTAGTCTCATCCATGCTAGATTTTCTTCCTGACATGTAAATTTGCGGACAGGTAGGAAAAATGTAAGATGTTAGTGATTTCCTGGTGAGAACAGGAATAGGAATTGTAGCTCTCTGCCTAACGTAAAAATAGGATCTGCAGCCAGGTGTGGTGGTTCATGCCTGTAATCCCAGCACTTTGGGAGGCCAAGGCTGGTGGATCACGAGGTCAGGAGATCAAGACCATCCTAACTAATGCGGTGAAACCCCGTCTCTACTACAAATACAAAAACTTAGCTGGGCATGGTGGCACATGCCTGTAGTCCCAGCTACTCGGGAGGCTGAGGCAAGAGAATCGCTTGAACCCGGGAGGCGGAGGTTGCAGTGAGCCAAGATCATGTCACTGCACTCCAGCCTGGGTGACAGAGTGAGACTCCGTCTCCAAAAAAAAAAAAAAAAAAAAATAGCATCTGCAATGTGAATGGATAAACATCAAATTTGCTTATTAATTTTTAGCCACCAGGTACCCTGCTCTGTTCTCTCTCTCTTCTATCTAGTAGTTCATGGGAAATATTATTTGTTTCATTAAAAAGGTCCTTAAAGGCCAGATGCAGTGGCTCACACCTGTAATCCCAGCAATTTGAGAGGCCAAGATGGGTGGATCATGAGGTCAGGAGTTCAAGACCAGCCTGGCCAACATAGTGAAACTCCATCTCTACTAAAAATACAAAAATTAGCCAGGCATGGTGATGGGCACCTGTAATCCCAGGTACTTGGGAGGCTGAGGCAGGAGAATCGCTTGAACCCAGGAGGCAGAGGTTGCAGTGAGCCAAGATCATGCACTGCACTCCAGCCTGGGTGACACAGTGAGACTCTGCATTCAGGAAAAAAAAAAAAAAAAAAAAAAAAAAGTCATTGAAGAAGCTAGGAGAAAATAAGGTGAAGGTAGAATCAAGGGTTTAGCTCTGCAAAACTAACAGATCAAGAGTGTGTGTGTGTATATGTGTATGCAGAGAGAGAAGAGAAAGAAGAGAGAGACAGGGCAAGGCAGGAAAATCAGTCAGAGGGCTCCAGAAAGAGTCCACAGAACAAATGGCACCTGAAACCCTTCAATGACTGACCACTGCCTTCTGGATAAAGTCCAGACTCCGCATATGGCACTTCATGGCCTTTACGATCTATCCCCTCCCTGTCTTGAGTCATTTGCCCTCCTCACAACTCAACCTTCTAGCCAAGCCAAATTTATTTCACTCAAATCCAGGTCGTCAGGCATGCTATACCCTTCACCTACCTTTCCCGTCTCCCAGCCATCACCTCCCTTCAGTCCCTGCCGCTGGGGTTCTCTGCACCCTCTGTCTCTACAAGCCCCAGTGGCTGTTGCACCACCAGCTCACTGTCACATCATCACCTTCCCCCAAACTTCAGAGCCCACTTAGGACAGAGACTGAGCCTGGAATGTCACAGCATCCCTGGCACGTGGCCTGGAAGCTGCTTACACAGCAGGTGTGCATTTAACTCATGTGTTAAATGAGTCAAAATGGAATGTTGTTTTCCTGAAGTATTAAAATGCAGAGGCATTTATAAATAAGCCAAATCTTAAAAATCTTCATGGGCAAAGCATGAGTAGCTAAGAACTGTGTCTTTATAGAAGTACCTCTTTATCTATGTTCATAGTCATTCGTATTCAAGCTCCCGTCTGCCTCTGTCTCTTCTTCCTAAGCCTCCTCACAGGCAATGGAAAGTCCTCTCTGATTTTACTTCTGAAAGAACAGCTTATTTAGAGGTCTGCCCCAATTTCAGAAACCTGTCATGGGAAAATGTGTCCTCAGGAAAGAACAGAATTGATTACTTGTAACACTCTTCATAATGCATTAGGATTTTGAGAGCTCCTTTCAACAGCAGTCCCCCTCTACATGTAAATGTCTCTCTGTAGAACGTTACCTCCTTGCTACAGAGGGAGAATCAGCAATTCTTTTTTTTTTTCTTTCTTTTTTTTGAGACAGAGTTTCACTCTTGTTGCCCAGGCTGGAGTGCAATGGCGCAGGCTTGGCTCACTGCAACCTCCGCCTCCCGGGTTCAAGCGATTCTCCTGCCTCAGCCTCCCAAGTAGTTGGGATTATAGGCACCCGCCACCACATCCAGCTAATTTTTGTATTTTTAGTAGAGACGGAGTTTCACCATGTTGGCCAGACTGGTCGTGGACTCCTGACCTCAGGTGATCCGCCCACCTCGGCCTCCCAAAGTGCTGGGATTACAGGCGTGAGCCACTGTGCCCGACCAAGAATCAGTAATTCTTAATGCTAAAGGAAGGAATTATTCATCCATGGAAGAAAAAAGTAACAATAACCACAGTAACAGGTATTGTGTATCTATTCTGTACTAAGTACAAGCATGCTGGGTGTTTTCTGTCCATCACCTCTTTCTCCATAACCTTGTATTCCCATGTTGCAGGTAATAAAACTGAGGCTAAAAGGAGGTAAATGAGGCCAGGCACAGTGGCTCATGCCTGTAATCCCAGCACTTTGGAAGGCTGAGATAGGTGGATCACTTGAGGCCAGGAGTTCAAGACCAGCCTGGCCGACATGGCGAAACGCATCTCTACTAAAAATACAAAATCTAGCTGAGTGTGGTGGCACACGCCTGCAACCCCAGCTACTCAGGAGGCTGAGGCAAGAGAATCACTTGAACCTGGGAGGCAGAGGTTATGGTGAGCCAAGATCATGCCACTGTACTTCAGCCTGTCTCAAAAAAATACATACATTTTTTTAAAAAGGAGGCAAATTATTTTCTCAGATGTAGCAAAGCCAAATTTGAACTTAAGCCCATCCAACTCCAAACCTGTGCTCTTTCCATTATGCCAAGAATCTATGATCTTGAATCCTAAATAAAAGGAAAAAAATGAATGACAATATACCTGACATAGAACTTCATTTGTATCAGTTTGGTTCAGATGCTACTGTCTAGAAACATGTTTACTTCATCGAGCACGCAATGTGGGCACTGAAATATTTCCCCTATCTCCCTGGCATCACTAGAGAGAAGACCAGCAAGAAGAAAGAAAAAGGGACTGGCAAATACAACGACAGATCACCCCAGAACCCAGCAAGGCTGGGTTCACCCCATTCTAGCACAGCACACTGGAGCCTGCAGGGGGTGGGGGGTGGGGGAGGGGCTTTTACCCTGACAGCCTGGAAGAGCAAACATTACAAAAAAAGGATGCAAAAACCAAAGCATATGGAGTCTGAACAGCCCTTGACAGCCGCACCTACGCAAGCACCCACACCACTTCTGTTGTCTTGGCAAGTGCAATCAGCATTACCCTCAAAGAAATGACAAAGATCAAAAGCATTCTTGATTGGGGCTGTAATCCTCCAAACCTGAACATCATCAAAAACTGGAGGACTACAGTCAGGTCCAGCTCCCTTTCACTGCCCTAAGTGAAGCTTCACTTTGACTCACCATTTCCCTAATACATTCTTCCCTTTTCTAACCATAGCAACACCACTGGAACAGCATCTCCTCTACTGATGATCTTGCCAAATCCTACTCATTCTCTGGAGCTCAGGTGAAGGTCAGCCCCCTTCTCCCAGAAGCAGTTTGTGATTTTTTGTGCCCAGAATGGTGTCTCCCTACTCTGACTCTACACACTGTCCCACTTAGCCCACTTACCTACATGGCTATCTAGAGGCACGTAGGACCAATGTATTTCTCACCTCCATGCTGCAACCTGGCCCTTCACTCTTTCCTGCAGTTAAATTCAATAAAATACTCACTGACTCTGCTCCAGGCATTGAAGATACAGAAATGATTAAATCCCAGCCCTGCTTTTGTGGGACCCACAATCTAAGTCAGAAAGGACAACATCAAATAAAATTCTACAAATAAATTTGTCATAATAGGGTACACGATTTCACCCAAAAGAGTGCTATCCTATCACCCTGTTTACTGCCTTCATGTCATTTAGCTCAATCTGTGGCCATTGTTCATTTGTTTGCGGTCAGCCTGTCCCTAGTAGGAGAAACTAGCATAGGAATGTTGTCTGTCTGGCTCACCACTGTCCCCAGCGCTCCATATGGACTTGAGCACAGAGACACTCTCATTGAAAGCTGTATTTGTGGAAGGAAGTAAAGAGAGAGGCAGGGAAGTGTCAGGAACTATGAGCACCAAGCTCAGCTTGAGCTTCAGGCAATGCTTCGTGACAGGGAGCCAGCTATGATCTGAAGTCTGAGTAAGGGCCGGACAGGGAAGGCGTGAGCCCCAATCCAGAAGAGGAACAGGATGAGTAAAGGTAAGAATGGCAAATCGGCATGACCAAGGGAGTGGTCATTTAAGAGCCCTTAAATATTGCTATAGACCAGCTGCTCTTAAAAGGGGATGATTTTTGCCTCCTGGGGGCATTTGGCAATGCATGGAGACTTTTTAAATTGTTTCTTGTTTTTGATTTTATTTTTAGAGACAAGGTCTCACTCTGACACCCAGGCTGGAGTGCAGAGTGCAGTGGCACGATCTCTGCTCACTACAACCTCCACCTCCCGGGTTCAAGCAATTCTTGTGTCTCAGTCCCTGGAGTAGCTGGGATTACAGGCACACACCTGGCTGTAATTTTTGTATTTTTAGTAGACATGGAGTTTCATCATGTTGGCCAGGCTACTCCTGACCTCAATGATCGCTGGTCTTAGCCTTCCCAAGTGCTGGGATTACAGGAGTGAGCCACCACACCCAGCCCACTTTTTAAAATTGTTAAGGCTTAGGGCAGGAAATGCTGCTAGCATCTACTAGGTAGAGTCCAGGGACTCTGATAAGCATTGTACAACGTCCAGAGCAGCTCACCACAACAGCCATCTAATCTAGAATGTCAGTAGTGGCCAGGCAGCATAGCTCACACCTGTAACCCCAGTGCTTTGGAAGGCTGAGGCTAGGAGTTCAAGACCAGCCTGGGTAATATAGTGAGACCCCATCTCTACAAAATATTAAAAATCAGCCAGGTATGGTGGTGCATGTCTGTAGTCCCAGCTACTCAAGAGGCTGAGGCAGAAGGATCGTTTGAGCCTAGGAGTTCAAGTCTCCAGTGAGCTATGATTACAACCACTGTACTCCAGCCTGGGTGACAGAGCAGGATCACATCTCTTCAAAAAAAAAAATTTTTTTTAATAAAATGTGGCCAGGCATGGTGGCTCATGATTCTAATGCCAGCACTTTGAGAGGCTGAGGCAGGTGGATCACTTGAGGTCAGGAGTTTGAGACCAGCCTAGCCAACGTGGTGAAACCCCATCTCTATTAAAAATACAAAAATTGGCCAGGCGTGGTGGTGTGTGCCTATAATCCCAGCTACTCAAGAGACTGAGGCAAGAGAATTGTTTGAACCTGAGAGATGGAGGTTGCAGTGAGCCAAGATTGTGCCACTGCACTCCAGCCTGGGTTACAGAGCGAGACCCTATCTCAACAAAATAAAATGTCAGCCAGGCATGGTGGCCCACACCTGTAATCCCAGTATTTTGGGAGGCCAATGCAGGTGGATCACCTGAGGTTGGGAGTTTGAGACCAGCATGGCTAATATGGCGAAACCCCATCTCTACTAAAAATAAAAAAAATTAGCTGGATGTGGTTGCAGGTGCCTGTAATCCTAGCTACTCAGGAAGCTGATGTGGGAGAATCACTGGAACCCAGGAGGCAGAGGTTGCAGTGAGCCAAGATCACACCACTGCACTCCAGCCTGGGCAACAGAGGGAGACTCCGTCTCAAAAAAAAAAAAAAAAAAAAAAAAACTGTCAGCAGTACTGAGGTTTACCAACCCAGCTGCAGACTAACATTCAAGGGATGGGCTGGTCAGAAAACTAAGCTTTCTTCTAAAGGTCATGATTTCTAGTCACATCTAATATCTTCTTTTGATTAGAATTTGGACCAAAATAGCATGTGCTTGCCACTTCCTACAGCCTCTGAGAAAAGAAATATTCAGCAAGGAGTATCTTGATCCTAAGGACCCATATCAATGTCCTTCCTCTGCCGGATATTCACCAGGACCCATTTCCTCCGTAAATTCTAGGGCTCCAAACCACCCACCCCACATGCAAGGTGATGAGAAGTAGAGAGATGAGAAGATGAGAGGTGCTCAGAGCACTGGTAGATGAATGGATAGTCAGACAGAGGGATGGACAGATTTGTCAGGATGGCAAAAGACGGAATCCTTGGAGCTCCCAGAGTGTGTGTGTCTGTGCCACGTGGACTTTTCTGTGAAGGCAGAATTGGCCTGAGCAACAACACTCCCGACCCCAGACCTGTTATGAGAGCTGTTGTGGAGAGCACTGAGAAGGGGTCATCTCTGCAGGACTCTGGAGCCTCTGCAGGGAGTCAAGCAGCTGGGCTTGACCCAGTGAAGTGACAAGAGCTGGGAAGTCAGTGAAGACAAGGCCGCTTTGTCTGGAAGTAGCAACGCATGGCTGGGCTGAGCCTGCCCTTGATCATGAAATCTGTGGCAGCTCCAAAACTTGTTGGGGCCTGACCCTGTGTTCACTTTCTCACGCTGCCTCACCATTGTTCCTCTGCAGCTAAAAGTCTTTCAAATGTGTCTGCTTATTTTTGCCTTGGCAAATAATTCTATATTTCCAATATTATCTAAAATGCTTGAATTTTAACTCTAAAAGGAAAAAAAAATCATCTTTTTTTCTGCTGTAAGACATCCGCTAGTGTTACATTCGTAAAGAGTAGATCTGAGACACTCAGAAAGGCTACCTCCTATTTCATCTCAAATTCCACTTTGTGACAAAGCTTCCCAGATTTCCTCATCTCTGAAGTGGGCACAATACTACCCACATTACATTCTTATTAACAATCCTAAAAAGGGCTTATTTAAATAAGAAACATCTAGAAATGGATGCCATGGATGAAAATTCAATTTACATCTAAGTTTTCATGGAAGCATCTGGTGGGTAGAGCGACAAAAGCCAAGAATGGCACCCCATGCAGGGCAGGATGCTCTTCTCAGTTACAGAAAAACATGGGCCTTGTATCTTACATATGGCTCTGTACAGAGCTGGGAGAAAGGAACAGGCTACCCTAGCAAATCAAAATGGAAATTGAGCTACATTTGTTACAATTCAAGCAAGATCTGCAACTTTCAATAGAAAAATATTAGTACAGGCAGTACCCAACTTGGAAATGAACTGTCTTGCAAAAGTTCATTTGCAAGCAGAGTGTTCAGAACCTGGAATGCAAGGTGTCTTTTATGTCCCAAGCCAGCCCACAAAAGGCTGATTGAATCTGTAATCTATTTGGTATATTACATAAAGTAAAAATAGAAAACAAAACAAAACAAACTGCTCTGATAACATTTTAAAAACATATAAAAATACTTAGAAAACAAATATACAGCCAATAATTAGCCTTGACCCGAAGCCCCCACCATGACCTGGGCCCTGGACCCCCTACAGTCCAAGTCATAGCTGAAATGGGGTCCTGAGAAACTGAATGGAGAAGAATGAGAAGAACCCCAGCCTAAAAGGGACAGGGGTTCTGGTGGGAGAAAAAAGTAGTCAGGCATCTCTCAACTGGAAGAGAAGGGTCTGGTACCTACCCAGAATATATACTCTAGCACAGAAGTGCTACTGGTCACATCTAGAAAGACATGGGTATGTGAAAGAACAGTGGCCACTCTGCCTGCTACCAAAGTAGACAAAATGAGCTGCTGCTGAAGACAAGCGAGCCAGCCACCTGGCACCGCCCTACCAGAGGGACGAGGGATGTGAATTCCCAGCATGCTCTGCAGCAGCATGGACAGCCAGGGACACTCAGAGGCCAGAAGGAAGATGTTCCTGCAGCTGCCGGCAGTTGGTATAGGAGCGTCCAGGGGCCGCATGTGATTCTGATGGATCTGGCTAGGTCAAGTAGGAAGTTTCTGAGCTTTACAAAAGTGAAAACTGTCCTAACTGATAAGGTTAGTCACATTTCTGGTATCTTCAGAAGAGTACAGGGGACAAGAACATAGAGACCCTGGGAACGCCTTCCCCAACACAGCACACTCACACCTTTACGGCAAAAAGGGTGCTTCATTCCAGATTGCTGCTGAATCTGATACCTGGATCGACTCCAAATACAAATGTGATGTGAAATATTGAAATCAGGTTTGAAAACTGAGATTTATTATGCATCCACTTTGTACCTTCTTTAATCCTCCAAATAAAGTGTCAGTCTCCAGCTCAAATTCCTGGTCCAGCTCCTCTTCGTGTTCTGACCAAAAAAAAAAAGTCTTCGTTAGTCACAAATCTAAACAAAACTGGGCTGGCTGAAGAGCTGAAGCACTGAAAGAATTGGACTATGTCCTGGAAAAGCAGCCAGTGGACTAAGGTGCAGGCACGGAAACATACCACACTCCTTGACCTTGCTTTCCAGTGTTCTGTGACCTAAGTTCCTGGAAATATGTAGAGCCACTGATGGAAACTTGGCTTGTAATAAGGGTCACAAAAGGAGACAGCAAAGGAGAAGAGTTTCCAACACAGGAAAACATGGGAAGGGTTACTGCAAATGGCCCATGTGCACACGCTGTTAGAAATTTTGGGCCGGGCATGGTGGCTCACGCCTGTAATCCCAAAACTTTGGGAGGCCAAGACGGGCGGATTACAAGTTCAGGAGTTTGAGACCAGCCTGACCAATGTGGTGAAACCCCATCTCTACTAAAAATACAAAAATTAGCCAGGTGTGGTGGCATGGTCAGGAGAATGAGGCAGGAGAATTGCTTCAACTGGGAGGCAGAGGTTGCATTGAGCCAAGATTATGCCATTGCACTCCAGCTTGGGCAACAAGAGCAAGACTCCATCTCAAAAAAGAAAAGAAAAAAAAAAAAAAGAAATTTTGACACAGACTATGCCACAAAACTATGGTGATTGGATCCGCTATGATATAATGCTAACAAAATATAATAAAATAGTCATATAATGGTAATGAGCATGTTTGTAAGTAAACAATACAGTTGATTTGAAACAAAAGATAAAATAAAATCTGCCAACACTTCTTGAGGAGGTACAGTAACCAGACACAGTACAAGATACTAGCAATGAAATGGAACCAGACTGGCGTGGCTTTTGTCTTCCTGGGGCTTACTGTATGCTGGGGAAGATAGACAAACACAGAATAAGAAACTATGATAGTGCTGATCAGTGCCATGATGCAGGAAGGAATGCTGTGGGAGCCGATGCTGAGGTCTGTGCGATGTCCTGTAGGCAACTGCATGGATGCGGGTGGAGCTCAAAGGAATGCTCTAAGCTGGAGATAAAGACTTACAAGTTCTCAGTATAAGGGTGGGACAAAACCACCAGAATGGCTGAGATTCCCCCCCAAAAAAGGACAAAGAGTACATAGACAAGAATGGGGAAATATTAATGCATATCAGATCAACAAAAGTATAAAAACCTCAAGAAACCAAAAAGGAGCTATCCAGAAGGAAACCCAGGAGAGAGTGCTGTCACTAAAATATAATCATGAAATAATGCTGGTTTCAGAGTAGGATCAAGGGGCAGATTCACACACACCAGATGCAAACAGCAAGCCAAGCGTCAGACCACAGGCAACATTTAGTAACAACAGAAAAGAGAGGGGCTTGCAAACCGGCCCAGGGTACACACCGCACACCTCCAGGAGCCCCAGCCACAGTGCAATCCAAGTGATCTGGGTGTGCCATGGAGGTGTGTGATTGCAGTAGGGCACTGGTCCTCTCTGTGACAGCTGCACGCAAGACCATTGTGTGTGCGTGCACGCACCTATTTGCGTGTTGCACTGCACACAGACACACAGACTCAAGTCCAAAGGAACAATTGGCAAACAAATGACAAGTTACTGTGATCCAACAAAGAAGTAACAGAAACCTCTGAATTCATTAAGGCAAAGAGGGTAGAAAAACTTTCTGCCTCTTCCCGCTTCTGTTTTGGCTTCACTTTCACAGAAACTGCAACCTTTAGAAACATCAGAGTTACACGGGATTAAAACAAAGCAAAAACTTAAGCTCTTTTTTTTGGTGCTTCTTTAAGAGTTCATTCAAAAGCAGTGGCATTTACACGCTAGCCTCAGATTTCCTGAGGCTGGAACATATCTCCCTCTAGTGGGAGAAAGGAACCCCATAGCAGACAAGAGAATTATAATGAAATCTTGCCTAGTGCTGTCCAACAGAAATAGAACACGAACCACACTTAAAATTTTAAAGTTTCTAATAGCCACAAAGTTAAAAAAAAAAAAAAAAAAAGTGAAGTTAATTATTTATTCCAATATATCCAAAATTGTATTTCAATATAAAATCAATATTAAACAGTTATATGAGTTATTTTACATTCCCTTTTTCTAATTCTTTATAATCCTATTTACATGTCATCTTTATAGCACACCTCAATTTGGCCTGGCCACATTTCAAATGCTCCCTATCCAGATGTGGCCCACGAGTACAATATTGGACAGCATAGCTCTAGACCAAAAATCTGTCCTCGGCCAGGCGCGGTAGCTCACGCCTGTAATCCCAGCACTTTGGGAGGCCAAGGTGGGCAGATCACCTGAGGTCAGGAGTTCAAGACCAGCCTGGCCAACATGGAAAAACTCCATCTCTACTAAAAATACAAAATTAGCTGGGCGTGATGGCAGGCGCCTGTAATCCCAGCTACTCGGGAGGCTGAGGCAAGAGAATTGCTTGAACCCAGGAGGCAGAAGTTGTGGTGAGCCTAGATCATACCATTGCACTCCAGCCTGGGCAAAAAGAGCGAAACTTCATATCAAAACAAAACAAAAAAAAAAAAACACAAAAACAACCTTTCCTCATGTTTTGGAGAATTCATATAAATCACCTTTGTCTCATTTCTTGACACAAATGCTCCCTGACATAAATTTTAAATTGTAACTTAAATCCATTCATGACCTGTTTGGAACTCACTGTTTTCAAATTGTCTTAAGTTAGCTGAAAATCCCAGCTGCAGAATGTAGTTGATACAGGAGAACCTGTGGCAGGACATCTTTCCACAAGCTGCAGTAACCCTCAGAATTTCTGATTATATCTTCTGGTAACCGCCCTTTGGGTTCATTCGGCCCACTGCCTAGATACAGCAGATTTACCAAGACAGAGGAATTGCAATAGAGAAATTTAATTCACACAGAGCTGCCTAAATGTCAGATGGGAGTTTTATTATTACCGAAATCAGTCTCCCAAAAATTCGGAGACTGGGTTTTTTTTTTGTTTTTTCCCAGAAGTCTCGCTCTGTCGCCTAGGTTGGAGTACAGTGGTGCGATCTTGGCTCACTACAACCTCCACCTCCTGGGTGCAAGTGATTCTTCTGCCTCAGACTCTCAAGTGGCTGGGATTACAGGTGTGCACCACTATGCCCAGCTAATTTTTGTATTTTTAGTAGAGACGGGGTTTCTACTAAAACCCCATGTTGGTCAGGCTGGTCTCGAACTCCTGACCTTGTGAGACTGGGGTTTTTTAAGGATAATTTGGCAGGTAGAGGGCCAGGGCTGATTGGTCAGGTCGGAGATGAAATCATAGGGAGTCAAAGCTGTCCTGCTGTGCTGAGTTGGTTCCTGAGTGGGAGCCGCAAGATCAAATGAGCCAGTTCATCGATCTGGGTGGCACCAGCTGATCTCTCCAGTACAAAGTCTGCAAAATATCTCAAGCACCAAGCTTAGGTTTTACAATAGTGATGTTCTCCCTAGGAGCAATTGGGATGGTTTAGAATCTTGTGGCCTCTAGCTACATAACTCCTAAGCCATAATTTCTAATTTTATGACTAATTTGTTAGTCCTACAAAGGCAGTTATATTTATAATTTTGGCACAGGCAGTTTTATTCTTAGGGAGGGACCTCAGACCTTCATTCTTTGAGCAGAACTGGAGTTTTTATCCTAAGTCAAATACAGTCAAGCAAGAGGCTGCTACAAACAGAAAAGAAGCCTTCTGTGCCTGGGAATTCTCTCCCCATCACACAGGACTGTCTGGCAGAACCTGCTCTTTCTTCCAGTGCCCTGGTTCTATTTCCCCAAATTCAGTGCTCCACAAAACTGCCTGAGAGCATAGAAATGAAGCAATTTCTGCTGATGAGTCCTGATTACCATGTCAGCTGTTGATTCTTCCCTTCCACAAAAGGATACATCAAAGCTCCATCCTACCTACTGAGTGAGAGGATTTGCATTTTAATCGCTGCCAATGAGCTGTGGTGGTAAACCATTTACTTAAAACCTCTAACTAACCTACCCCTTTTCACTCTCAGCATTTTGATGGGAAATTAATTCTGGGGTGTGTGTAGTAAGAGGGCAATAATCAGAAGAAAACACATACACACACACACCCTAGTCTGACACAAGCCACTGCCAGGGAGCAGCACACCCAGTCATGGGGCACGTGCCCCGCTGTTTCTATACATTGGCAAAACTCCAATCAGCTCCTACTGATTATTTCTCCAGGAAGCCATGAGTACAATAGACTGTGGTAGTCATTGAGAATGGGAAGGGGGCACAGAAAAGACGGGCTTCTAATGATAGGAGAATTTAGCGGTAAGCAACTCTCAAATATTCTTCTGCAGATTATCCTACAGAAAGGGGGTGGCTTTTCATGACACTCTGGAGGCCTAGGGGCTCCTTCTTTCCTCTTCCAATTTCCACTTGAGGAATAAAAAAGTGATTTAGAAATAACCCAAGGAAAAGCAAATCAGATATGTCAATGGATGTAAAAGGAGACACTGCATAAATGTGCTTCAAAACTCCCAAATGGGGCTGCTCATCTGCCACTCACCTGAGAAATTCTGAGTCTGCAGGGGCAGACCACCAGGTGCTTAATTTGCATGGAAAACTTTAGAGCTTCTGGGAGAAGTAGAAGCACCCTGGACTGAAATGGAAACTCTCAAGCCAAGAGTAAGCCATAAGCTCTGTGCATGTTCAGGGGTCTGACATGGAGCACCAGCTGAGAAACAGAAGGAATGAGGAGCTGTGGAGTCTAACACTAGGGCTTGCCCACAAATGCTCTCTAGCCTAGGCTCTGCCCCATGTCATTGTGGGAGGCTTATTAGAAGTCTTAAGAAAGCAGATTACCTGGAAGCCAACACTCTCCTATGTAAGGATAAAAAAATATTTTTCCTCCAACTTTCTTAGGTTCATGACTGAGGCCCCTATAACAAAAGGCACATTAACAAGAGAAGAGCATACAAATGTAGTTAATGTAAGTTTCACATGATACAGGAGCCTTAGTAAGGAAATGAAGACTAAGAAATGGCTAAATTTTATTTTATTTTATTTTTTGAGATGGAGTCTCACTCTGTCGCCCAGGCTGGAGTGCAGTGGTGCGAACTCGGCTCACCGCAAGCTCCACCTCCCGGGTTCACGCCATTCTCCTGCCTCAGCCTCCCAAGTAGCTGGGACTACAGGCGCCCGCCACCACACCCGGCTAATTTTTGTATTTTTAGTAGAGACGGGGTTTCACCATGTTAGCCAGGATGGTCTTGATCTCCTGACCTCATTATCCACCCGCCTCGGCCTCCCAAAGTGCTGGGATTATAGGCGTGAGCCACCGTACCCAGCCAAATTTGTGTATTTTAATGCTAGGTTTGATGAAGATTGGACAGTCATGGAGAAATAGATTTGGATAAAGTGAGTATGTTCTAATGGTAATAAACTGAGGGGAACTTAGCAAGACCTATTTCTTCTGTGTGATCCTTCATCTTCTGAGATAAGGATGTTCCCTTCTTTTGTGTATAGAGAAGGCACCTCTCACATGAGAGTTTTATGACCTGCTTCAGGGGAGAAAGGTTGGGAGTAACTTTCCTGCTTCTGCTGTTTTCTCAAATGCCAAGGTGCCATGTTTTGAGGTAGTGCTCCTGAACCCCCAACACCTACCTGAAGGACCAGTGTTAACCCAGGAGGAAAATGCCAGTGCAAGGAGGAAGGGATAGGCTACAAGACTTGGGATCCATTCCAATAGGAAGACAGTGATTCAACTGTTTCCTAAGACCCTGGCCATAGATAACAATGGAAACCACAGCCAAATATAATGTGAAGCATCACCAAACAGAATGTTTGGAGCCTTGGTTGTTCCACAACACTCACTGTTAATGCTTCAAGACAGGCTGTCCAGTTCCCAGCTCCTACAGGAGAAGTTCAATTGGGTCTTTTCACAAAGCCTTGTAAACTGAAGGGCCCCTGGTGGCCCCAGACATACTCAGTCAGCTCACCTGGTTCCAAGAGCAAGGACACCTGGTTCAAGGACAGGACCAGTGGCCTCTGTTTTCCCACCCTGGACTGGGTTCTTCAGAGTTACTGATCATCTTGCAACCACGTTCCTCTAATCACAGAAGTCAGTGGGAAAAATTACTTCCTAACAAAGCCCATGACCCGTAAGAGGTTAGCATGTTGCATGAAGAATGTAAAAGAAAGAACTAATCTATAAATGAGCTTCTGTATCCTTTCTTCATAAATCGAGCTTAGTAATAATGAAGGCCACAGGTTTATAAAGAAATAAACAAAAGGTAGAAGGTGAATGTGTTCCGTTATACTAGCTGTATCCCACTTTAAGAACAACTATATAAAAACAAAGAAACAGGGAGTAGTGATTCAAATAAATACTTCGCACCAGAAAAAGCAAAAGCTCTTTAAATATGAGGGCTCCCCGGTGCTAGAGTTTATTTAAAGAAACATTAACTACAGATATATCACTGAATATTAAAAAAATGAAAAAAAAAGCCTGTGACATGAAAACGCAAATCAACGGGAAGCACAATTTCATTTATAAAAATGTCATTAATATGCAACTTTTCAGGAACATAGCTGCTTCATAAAAGAAGATGTGCCTGGGCTCTGCAAAATCAGAAGGTTCTAGGGTAGCTGCTTTTCATTAGAAAATAATTTTCACAGGCCAGGCATAGTGGCTCATGCCTATAATCCCAGGACTTTGGGATTTGGCTTGAGGCCAGGGGTTTAAGACCAGCCTGGGCAACATAGCAAGACCCTGTCTCCAAAAAAAAAAAAAAATAGCCAAGCAAGTGTGCAAGTGTGGTACTGTGTGCCTGTAGTCCTAGCTACTTAGGAGGCCGAGGTTGGAGGATCACTTGAGCCCAAGCACTTGAGTTTGCAGCGAGCTAGGACTGAGCCACTACACTCCAGCCTGAGCAACAGGATGAGACACTGTCTCAAAAATAATAATAATGAAATAGAAAAATATGAATTGCTCAAACTGACTTAAGAATGAAAACATACCAATAACCCTGAAAGGTACTGAAAAGTTTTCAATGAATCTACTCCCAAAGAGATTTCATGCCTAGACAAACTTAGAAGTGAATAACATCAGACACTGATGCAGACATTTCATATACTACTTTAACAGTTCCATAATATTTTTTAAAATGGAATCCTCTCCAGTTGTTTTATAAAGCTAACAGGATATCAAGATTGAAATTTGGGGATGAGACAAAACAAAATTACAGGCCAACCACTCTCACTTAGAAATCCATATATTTTTTAACCCTAGGGAAAAAAGCAGTATGTTTAAAAATACCATGGTCACGGTAGGTTTGTAATAGGAATGAATCCGTATGGTTTGCCTCTGGAAAACTGATGACTTTAAAATATAGTATCAATAGGTCAAAAAAGGAATAGGTACTTTAAAAACAAATAAAATTCAACACTTATTGCCAATTTAAAGGGGCTAGGATTCCTTAACATGAGTTTTTAAAAACAAGTAAGTAAAGCTTGTTCAACCTTTCACTATACAGAGATTTCCATTAAAGTCAGAATTAAAACAGGTTAACATTCAACTATTGTATTGTTCTAGATGTCCTAGCAAAGCAAAAACAAATGAAGCAAAACTACTATCATTATCTGTGGATGGTATTATCTAAATAGAAGGACAAGGAAAATCAAGCCAATGGAACATAAGAGAATTCAATAAATTGCTGAAATATAAAATACATAAACCAAAATAAATACCTTTAGTGTAGATCAGAAATAATCAGCTAGAAAATTTGTAAAATATCCCAATCACAAAAGGAGAAAGGAAAAGACTCAGAAATAATCTTAAGTTTTAGCAGAATCTATTATGAAGACAACCACAAACCTTCATTAAGGGAAGTGATGAAAGATTTTGAATAAGCAAAGAAAAAATATATTATTGGATAGAAAGACACATTATAAAAATATCAATTATTTACAAATTAATTTATAAGTTTATTACAATTCTAATTAAAACCCTAATGATTTTTTGAAAGTAGCCAATTTCAAATATATATCTGGAAGAATAAGCCAGTAAGAACAGCCTAAGAAAGATCTGAAAACAAAGAACCAATAACTAATAACTTACTCCAGATACTTAGGCATTTTGTAAATCAAAAATAATTAAAACGGCACAGTATTGATGTAAGAATTGATTGAGAAATCAATTAAACAGAATATAAGAATTTAATATGTGAGGCCAGGCACCCTTGTTCATGTATGTAATCTCAGCACTTTGGGAGGCCGAGGCAGGAAGATCGCTTGAGTCCAGGAGTTTGAGACCAGTCTGAGCAACATAGAGAGAGCTTGTCTCTCTTTTTATAAAATAAAAAATAAAAATAAATTTTAACAAAAGAACTCAGTACATGATCAAGATTGCATCATAATTATCATAATCACCAGTAATCCCGGCACTTTGGGTGGCCAAGGAGTTTGAGACCAGCCTGACTAACATGGAGAAACCCTGTCTTTACTAAAAATACAAAAATTAGCAGGGTGTGGTGGTACACACCTGTAATCCCAGCTACTCAGGAAGCAGAGGCATGAGAATTGCTTGAATCCAGGAGGCAGAGGTTACAGTGAGCAGAGATCGTGCCACTGTACTCCAGCCTGGGTAACAGAGCAAGATTCTGTCTCAAAAAAAAAAAAAAAAAAAAAAAAAAAGACATTATGTTTAGTTATCTATTTGTGAAAAAATATCACATCATATACTAAAATACACTTGAGATGGATTGAAGAGCACTCAACTTGCTGAGAGTAGTACAGAAAAATGGATCTCCTCCTTTGGAAGCGTTAATTGGCCCAGCCTTCCTGAGAACAGCCTGGGTTCATCTATTAAGCACCTGAAAAATGGTTGTGTGGTTTTACTCTATAACTCCTCTTCTAGAAATCTTTCTGAGAAAAACAATCAACAATCCAAACACATTCTTTACAAAGTAAATGAGCTAAGCATTCAACTCATGACAATGAAATAAAAAGGAACAGACCAAACCTAAAGAAACAATAAGGAAGGAAATAATGAGATAAGGGCAAAAATCAATGAGTTAGAAAACAAAAAGAAACAACTGAGAAAATAAAGCCAAATGCTGAAAAGATTAATAAGATCTCTGGCACCGTTGATCAAAGAAAGAAAAAATAGAAGGGAGGGAGAAGTGGAAAGAGGAAATGAAGGGAGTGAAGATGATGCAGATAAAATATAAAATAATGAAACACCAAAAAATTTTTAAGTAAGAGTTAAGAACCACAATATACTAATCAAACTGAAAACCTACATAAAGTATATAGATTTCCTAGAAAGCTATAAAATGTCAAGATGGGTACAAGAAGAAATAAAACATTTAAATAAGAACGAATAGGTGGTAAACTGAAATAGTCAAAGACTTCCCCTCCCAGGTGCTTTTTTTTAAAAAAAAAAAAAAAAAAAACAGGTGACTTCCTTCTATCACCGGGATTTTCCATGATGGGAATTCAATAGTTTTTATTCCGAATATTGCATTAAATTGACATGGCCAGAAAAATATATGGCATCCTTTTAGGCAGAGGCATCAATTCGTTCAAGGCCTATCACACAAGCCTTCTGATGCATGGTACATTGCATTTTCACATTAAATGTAAACAGAGAGGGGCCGGGCGTGGTGGCTCATGCCTGTAATCCCAGCACTTTGAGAGGCTGAGGGGAGTGGATTACCCCAGGTCAGGAATTCGAGACCAGCTTGACTAGCATGGTAAAACCCTGTCTGTACTAAAAATACAAAAATTAGCCAGGCATGGTGGCATGCACCTGTAGTCCCAGCTACTCAGGAGGCTAAGACAGAAGAATTGCTTGAACCTGGGAGGCAGAGGTTGCAGTGAGCCGAGATTGCGCCACTGCACTCCAGCCTGGGTGACAGACCAAGACTCCATCTCTTATTAAAAAAAAAAAAAAAAGTAAACAGAGACAAAAAGTTTTATGTCTACTAAACCATAAGGCACCAACCTAATGCAACAGCTGTGGATTAGCCACAGTACTGCAGAGCACCAGGGGCGAGGTCAGCCAGCATAGCGGATCACTATCACCACCCCAATATTTCCATATGACTTCAAGATATTCTAATTTGGTAGAGTTGGGGGGAAGAAGGGGTATTCTGTTGAGTCCCTGCTGTGGATTTGCTGAGAGATTCCATTTGACTAAGGCTGTTAAAATCAGTCTGCTGTCCCCAACCACGTGACAACCCCACTACTGCTGATAGAGACAGCAGTGAATGAGATGCCTGCTCTGTGCCCAAGGAGAGTAGCCACGCAGATGCCCACCAGAGACATTTCACTGAACAAATACACTTGGAGCCTCTAGTCTATTCTAGGCAGCACGTTTGCTCCAGACATGAATGCCCTAAAAAAGTTCAGAGTAAAGACGATTTTTCCAGTGACCTACTTCTACAATGTGGGTAAGTAGCACTTTTTCCTGAATTAGAAAGTGAGATGAGGAACCAAGAAGGCTCAACATTGTATCAGTTGAACATACTTAGGCATGGCATGGGGATCTGGCTCCCGTGAGGTAAACTGGCAAAAGCATTTGAGGAAGATATTTCTTGGGAATGGCCTGAGAAACACTTCAGCACTGACAATAAAAGGAAAGGCATTAAGGATTAAAGAAGCTTCAGGCTAGGAGGTGGTCAGCATGACAGCATCTGGACAGGTTAAGGTGCAGAAAAGTTTTGTACTATCCGCAAAGGAACCCCTCGCCCCGTTCCCAGAAGCTATCACAACACAAGAAGTAGAGTTGTAAAGTCTTAGGTTTAAGCTTCAGCTCTATTATTTCTATTATTAAATATATGACCTTGGACAAGTAATACTTTTGAGCCTCAGTGTCCTCATGTGGGTAAAGAAGTATAACACCCATTATAGAAGAGAGAAACTCCAGAGGTGGCTCCATCAGACTCTTCCTCTACATGCTGCTCCACCTGTAAAAAGGTGCAGTCTTTCCTTCCCTTCAATCTGGACTGGCCCTGTGATTTGCTTTGACCAATAAATGAGGCAGAAGTGACCTGTATAACTTCCCAGGCTGCACGTGCAACAGCTGGAACCCAGCTGCCCTGTAATAAATGTAAGAAATGTAAGCCACATGAAGCCATTTAGAGAGGACCATAGTACTCCACTTGACAGTCCCCAGCTGAGCTCTCAGCTGAAAGCCAGCACCAACTGCCAGCCACGTGAGTGAGCCACCCTGGATGAGTGAGCCCAATCGAGCCACCAGATGACTGCAGCCCCAGCTGACAATACATGAAACAGGAGAAATGCCAGCTGAGTCCAGTCCAGGTATATTAAAGTCAAAATCTCACAGAACACAAAAATCATGTAATCCAACACATCACCAGGCTAAAGAAGAATAAACTGATCAAGAGATGCAGAAAGAACACTTGACAAAATCCAACATCCATTGTGTTGGTTAGTGCTATGTGTCAACTTGACCAGGCCAAAGAGTGCCCAGATTAAACACTATTTCTAGGTGTCTGTGAGGGTGTTTCTTGATGAGATAAGCATTTGAATCAGATACAGTAGATTGCCCTCTTTAATGCAGGTGGGCACCATCCAATCCATTGAGGGTCTAAATAGAACAAAAGGAGGAGGAAGGAAGAATTCACTCTTATTTCTGGCTACTGCTTGAGCTAGACCATCTCAGCTCATCCTCTCCTGCCCTCAGACTGGGATTTACATCATAGGCTACTCCAGTTCTCAGGCCTTTGGACTTGAACTGAATTGCACCACTGGCTTTCACAGGTCTACAGCTTGCAGACAGAAGATCATGGAACTTCTCAGCCTCTATAATTGTGTGGGCCAATTCCTTGTAATAAATCTCCTTTTATATCTATATGTAGCCTATTGATTCTATTTCCCTGGAGAACCCTAACTAATACAGTCATTCATAACAAAAGCTCTCAGAAAACTAGGAATAGAGGGGAACTTCCTTAACTAGATAAAAAGCATCCATAAAAAACCCACAGCTAATGTCATACTTAATGGTGAGAAACCAGAAGTTTCCCCAGTTAA
This sequence comes from Homo sapiens, assembly GCF_000001405.40. NCBI lineage: Eukaryota > Metazoa > Chordata > Mammalia > Primates > Hominidae > Homo > Homo sapiens. The sequence goes on along the minus strand of NC_000001.11, from coordinate 210,350,832 downwards.
ATTAGGAATAAGGCAAGGATAAGCCCTCTCATCTCTTTTTCAACATTGTACTGGAAACCCTAATTAATGCAATACAACAACAACAAAAAAGAAAAGGTATATAAGATTGAAAAGAAAGAAAGAAAATCATCTTCGCAGACGCCATGATTACCTATGTAGAAAATCTGAAAGAACTGACAGAAAAACTCCTGGAATTAATAAGCTATAATAACAAGATTGCTATAACAAAATCAATTGCTTTCCTATATATCAGCAATGAAATAAGTAGAATTTGAAATTTAAAACAATATCATTTACATTGTCACCCAAAAAATGAAATACTGAGCTATAAATCTAACAAAATATGTATAAGATCTATATCAGGAAAACAATAAAACTCTCATGAAAGAAATCAAAGAACTAAATAAATGGAGAAATAGTCCATATTCATGGATAGGAAGACTCAATATTGTCAAGATGTCAGTTCTTCCCAACTTAATCTATAGATTCAATGCAACCACAATGAAAATCCTGGCAAATTCCATTGTCCGAATGTACCACAGTTTATTAGTCCATTTGCTGCTTAAGGACATCTTGATTGCTTCCAATTTTTAGCAATTATGAATAAAGCTGCTATAAACATCTTTATTTTATGGCTAAAGTTATTTTGTAGATATCAACAAATTGACTCTAAAGTTTATACAGACAGGCAAAAGACCCAGAATAGACAACACAAATAACAGTTAGAAGACTTCTATCCAACTTCAAGACTTAATGTAAAGCTACGGTAATCAAGACATTATGGTATTGGTGTAAGAATAGACACCTCCCATTTTCAATATACTTTATTTTTTAAAAGTAGTTTTAAAGCCAGGCATGGTGGTGCACTCCTGTAGTCCCAGCTACAGGGTGCAGTGGCTCACGCCTGTAATCCCAGCACTTTGGGAGGCTGAGGCAGGAGGATCACCTGAGGTCAGGAGTTTGAGATCAGCCTGGCCAACATGGTGAAACCACGTCTCTACTAAAAATACAAAAATTAGCCAGGCGTGGTGGTGGGCACCTGAAATCTCAGCTACTCAGGAGGCTGAGGTAGGACAATTGCTTGAATCCAGAAGGCAGAGGTTGCAGTGAGCCGAGATGGTACCATTGCTCTAGCCTGGGCGACAAGAGCGAAACTAGGTCTCAAAAAAAAAAAAAAAAAGTTTTAGGTAGCACATAGCCACCAACCTAAAGACTATTTCCCAGCCTCCCAGCTGTGCCCGTGGGACTCAGTGCTGGCCAGTTGGGTGTGAGCAGGAGTGACTAGTGCTCCTTGCCAAACTGCCGCTAAAATAAAGGAGGGCCCCCATTCCCCTTCCTTTGGGCTGGAATGTGACCTGATGATGATTTATCTCCAACACTCAGACAAAGGCAACACTAAAAATGACAGAAGAAGACAAAACGAACCCAGATCTAATATGTCTCAGAGGAGTAATGATGAAAGAGAAATTTAAGAGTTTACTTTGAATTCTGAACGCAAATCCCCTCCACGGCCTTCAATAGCTTTTGAATCAAACCCACCAATTATAGAAGACAAGCCACAGCATCACCTAAAAGACCTAGGTTTAGGGTAGAAAACTCAATGGACTCAGGTCACTGATTCAAACTATCCAAGACATGGGGAAGCAAATCAAGGCCCACATCATCTTGACACTATTGGATCATCTTCTTGAATCTTCCACCTCTGCTCCTTTTTTTGACAGGAGTTTCCTTGTTTGATAGGAGGTCTGAAAAGCTTGGGGCCTTACCTCTGGAGACTTTGTAAACTTCATAGAAGGAATAGAAGTGGAAGCCTAGTGAGGCAAGTAGGTAAAGTGCCAGTTCCCATCGGGGCAGCATGGCTCCTTGGCACGAAGGTTCCCGATGCCTACGCTGAGAGTTTCTGAGAAACAGAGACAAAACTTTAAGCCATGAACATGACACTAGAGAACAGCATCTAAACATCAATTCAGTTAGTTCACACTCCCGGAGACCCATCACTATTCAAGGTGATACAGACATAACCCCAATCAAGCTTCCTCCTCCCTGTGAACTTACTCCATCCTGCATCCAACACACACACACACACACACACACACGCACACATACACCACACATGTGCATCCTGCCTGTCAAAGGGGTCAGGTCTTTTCCTAGGAGTTCCCACAGTCTCCCATCAGAGTATACATCAGACAGTTCTCTACCCATTGCATAATATGCCTGTCTCTTCTGTGGAGTGGACCCTCAGATAGCAGGGACCATGATCTCTGACTCACCAGCCCCTAGCACAGTGCCTGGGATGTAGCAAGAAGGGACTACCAGGTGCTCTGTGAATAATAAATGGCTTCAAAAAGTCTGAAAAGCACAAACAGTATACAAACCTCTAAATCAACAGGTTCACCATCCTTGTTGTCCCTTTCAAGTATCATACTATAGGCCAGGCATGGTGGCTCATGCCTGTAATCCTAACACTTTGGGAGGCCAAGATGGGAGGATCACTTGAGGCCAGGAGTTCGAGACCAGCCTGGGCAACATAGCCAGATCCCCTCTCTAAAAGCAATAATAAAATAAAAACTTAAAATCAGCTGTCTGCCATGCATCTATGCACTTTATTTATGTATTTTTGGAGACAGGGTCTATGTTTCCCAGGCTGATCTTGATTTCCTGGCCTCAAGTGATCCTCCCACCTCAGCCTCCTGAGTAGCTGGGTTTATAGGCACAAGCCACTGTGCCAGGCCTCATCTGTACATTTCTTAAAGGGCAGTTAATGACATAATCACAGACATCTGTGACAGACACTGCTTGTTACCCACCGCCCCTCACTACCCCTTTTCAGAATTCAGTCTCTCTTCTTACACATCAATTAAAATTTCCTCTGGACACCAACACTACACTGTAGCTAAGTGTGGACACCTGAATAGCTCCATTCAAAAGGGTGTGAGTGAAGGGACATGGCTGTGGCCATCTCTTTCTTTCCCTCCCTTTCCTGTTGAACAGAATTGGAACAGCCTCCGTGGATGAAGAGGTGAAAGCCACATGGACAAGACAGAGGCCTCTCAGTCCCCAAATCCAGGTACCACCCCCAAGCCCCAAAGTGCCCCAGACTACTTAGATCTAGACTGTTACAGGAAAGAGAAATGCATTTCTAGGTTGTTTAAGCCTCTCCTATTCTAGATCTCTCCATCATGGCAGCCATGACTATACTCTAAGTAATAGAGAAGGTATAGGAAAGTTAGGTCCTAAAATTCAGCAAATTAAATGATTCCAAATGTTCCAAGTAACAAAGAGTTCACTAAATTTAAACGCATTTATGGCCTTTACTGCTTTATTTAAACCTCTCAAGTATGTCTCATTGTGGATGCCAAAATAAGAGCAAAATTTTAAGCAGCACCTCCCACCAACCCCACCAAGTACTTCTAACATGTGACAGTCATGCCAAACCCCAGAATTCACACATTATCTCATTTTGTTTTCACAACAGCCTGGTGAAGTAGGTGGAAGTGGAACAGGGGAGGTAGGCATTTTATAGATGACAAATGTGATGAGGTCACAGAGCCAGAAATAACTGAGCCAGAGCAAAAAAGCAAATACTGCATGATCTCACTTATATGTGAAACCTAAAAAAAGTCAAACTCACAGAAGTGGTTGCCAGGGGCTGGGGCGGGGGAAGTGGGGAAGATGTTGGTTAAAAGATGTTGGACAGGATGAATAAATTCTGAGGATCTATTATACAGCATGGTGATTATAGTTAACAATAATGTATTATATTCTTGAAAAGTGCTAAGAGTAGATCTTAAATGTTCTCACCATAAAATGATAAGCAGGTAAGGTGATGGGTATGTTAATTACCTTGATTTAATCATCTCACAATGTATAGCTAGACATCACATTGTACACCATAAATATGTACAATTTTTGTCTAAATATGTGAGTAAACAAATAAGTAAATAACTGAGCCAAGGCTCAAAGCCAAGTCTTTGGACCCAGGCCCCTGCCCCTCCACTCTGCCATGGCCAATCCCATTAATGCCAGTGTACAGTTACTCAGACTTAGAGCCTGGCTTAGAATCTGCCGCACACACAAACTCCTTTCTTCAGACCACTGGGAGACAGAGCAGGAAGGGAAATAAACTTCAGCCTTGATAAACCACGATTTCAGAAATAAGCAGTCTTGCACCCAGAGTGCCCCATTTCGTTACCTAAAAGTCACCCAGAAAGTTTGGTCTGGACTTTTCCTGCAACCTAAGAGATCCAGAAGCAATCATTCATGCTTTAAAACACAAGCCTAAGCCCTAGTATTTCAACAACACTTTCTCAAGTTCCTTACTATTTTTCAGAACTGCTTCTAGCTTTATCCATTTCTATTCACAATTTATTTTTAAATACTTTCATCTTTAGAATAACAAGACTCCTTTCTGGAACTTTTCAGGAATTTGGTAGTCTTCCCTTTAGTGGGAAGGTAATTTTAACTTCTTGGCTTATAATTTAATGTCTCGCCTGTCAAAAGATGTTGGTATTACATCGGATGACCTCTTTGCCTCATGAAGAATCTGATTAGCAAAAAGCTGATCTCCTAATTGGGCGACTGAAATTTGAACACAAATGATCTTGTAGACTGAATGAAAGTTTTAGAAGGCCTGCCATTAGATGCTTTTCAGGGACATTCTATCTGAGACAATCCTCCTGCATTAAGGATTTAATCCTCAGGGAACTAGAAAATTCGGTTTAATAATTTTTCATTTTGGTGCTGCTTTTTTTTTTTTTTTCTTCCTGGAGACAGGGTCTTGCTCTGTTGCCCAAGCAGGAGTGCAGTGGCATGATCTCAGCTCGCTGCAGCCTCAACTTCCCAGGCTCAAGCAATTCTCCTGCCTCAGCCTCCTGAGTAGCTGGGATTACAGGCATGCACCACAATGCCAGGCTAGTTTTTTATTGTTGTTGTTGCCCAGGTTGGTCTCAAACTCCTAAGCTCAGGAGATCCGCCCACCGTGGCCTCCCAAAGTGCTAGGATTACAGGCGTGAGCCACTGCACCCAGCTTAGTGCTGCTCTTAGCTGGATTGTACAGTGAGTCCTTACTGAACATCACCAGTAGGGTCTTGGAAATTGTAACTTTAAACAAAACAATGTATAATGCTACTAATTTTACAATAGGCTAATTGATATAAGCAAAAAGTAAGTTCCTACTGCATATTTCTGGTCACAAAAACATCATACATCTAAATAAAGACCAAAACACTTCTAATAGTAAACACTGAAATAAACAAGAGCTATACACATACACTTAAAGATTAATAAGCACAGGTAAGATCATTATTTACCCAAGTTTGGTGAATCAGCAAGTGATGGCAGTTGTGATGGTGGTCGGTTAAACCAAGGAATAAAATGTTTGCAAAGCAAAAATTATAAGGAGCACCTCCTGCCACCATGCAGTTCAAAACATTTACAATTAGGGTGGGCTCACTGAGCGCTTTCATACTACATTTTTTTTGTCATGCATTTGTATGATTATCATAGACTTTACAAATTTTTATTAATTTGTATTCATTCATTCATTTTCCACCCCACTTGTTCCAATTTAGGGTCTCTGGTAGCTGAGCCCATTCCAGCAGCTCAGGATGCAAAGCAGGAACCAGCCCTGGACAGGATGCCATCCCAGCGCAGAACCCACTCATACTCACTCCCCCACACTCGTTACCAAACACAGGTTCAGCTGCTCACCACTTGCAAAACAAATTAGCAAGATAGAGGTATGGCAGAAAGAAAGTGACTTTATTACAGACCAAAGCTAGCCATGGGGAAGACGGTCTAGACTCTTGCCTTAATGGAACCACTTCAAATTTCCAAGCAAAGTGCAAAGGTTTAAGAAGGGGAAGCAAGTTGCGGCATGGGGTGAGGCAGTGCAGGCCGGCATGACTTGTTCCGATGCCGGCATGACTTGTTCCGATGACTCGTCTTGAATTGTTGCTCCATCTTGTGAACGGGCTGGCAACATCTGGGGCTCAGCTGGGTTGTAAATTAACTGTACCCTCAAAGCCATCTCCTGGTAGGGGAGATTTTCACAGGTGCCTGTACTATTTCAAGGTCTAGTCTCTGGAACCTCGACTTCAGGCTGAAGGAGCCTAAAGACCCTACTGAAAGCAGATAACAGTGGCCCCAAAGGCTCCCCAAAACGGGAGGCAATTGCAGGGATTTCTAGGAATGTCTGGCTTTTGTTGAATTTGAATTCCAAATTTGGGGTTGATGGCTAAGCCACTTTATGAGGCCTTTAAAAGGGACTAGATTCAGAGCCCCCTGCCTTGGACAGATGAGCATCAACAGGCATTTGATGCCATCACAGAAAAACTTAATAGGACACTCAGTTACATTCACACACTGGGACCATTTAGACACACCAATTCACCTAATGGGCACAGCTGTGGGATGTGGGAGGAAACCAAGTACCCAGAGAAAACCCCTGCAGACATAGCGAGAATGTGCAAACTCCACAGACAGTGGCCCCAGCAGAAACTCCATTTTCTTCTACTCAGTGGTATAAGGAAACAATAACATTGTTTCAATGAAACAATAACATAGTTTCAACAATGCTCTATGTTTTGTAGACAAATACACAGAGATACATAGTAACTAGCGGCAAAACACCAGGTAACTAAGCAGGGAAACTAGCTGTCCCCTCACCCCCAAAATTTAGGAATTGAACCAAATAGTCTCCACTTGACAGCACAGTGATACATTCTGGCACCAAACCCACCTGTGGGGTTCAGGGAGGAGGGGTGGGCTGGTGCAGGGAGAGTCCCAGGCTGTGTCATTTATTGGTTAAGGAAACGGGTAGATAACGGCCTCCCAGATGTTTTCTTATAGGGTTGTTGAAGGGGTTAAATGTAAAATGCTTAGCCCAGGGCCTGGCAGTGAATAAGCACTCAACAAACATTAGTAGTTACTAGTTAGTGAATTTCACTCATCAGGAGCCTACCTAAGCCCTGACCCTGATTTTCTCCCTGAATCAAAGAAATCTGGCTGAACTTCCTGGGGTATGCCCATCCTACGTGCATCTGGACCTCTTTCAGGAAGTTGGCATCCCCAGGGATTTCGTTAATGTCTCATTCCTCTTCTGACGCCCAATCCAAAGCCACCCTGGACAGCAAGCAAACTATCCCCGGGGACCACCCGCAGGCTTTCAGCCCGGTGCCTCTTCCTCACCACCTACGTCTCTGCTACTCCCAAGGGAATGACAGGCAGTACTTTCCACTTTCATTTTCACCTCTCCATTACACGAATGCCACCTCGAAACACCACCACCACACAGACACTCACCCATCCTCCTTAACAGAGCTTTCTTCCTCACACACTCTCTTTTCAACTCTTGCCTGTAGCTGACTGCAATGGTTACTATTTGAGACTGTCACTACGACAGTCACTACTGTTACTACTTGAGACAGTCATTAGGAGACTGAAGGAAGGAGGACGAAGGCAGAAATGAAAACTTAAAAGTAACTATTTTAAAGGAAGGGGCCAGGGGAAGAAGAGAGCTCCCTGCTTCTAGGGAGCAAAGGCAGCAACCTCGAGCTTCTACAGCCCTTTGTTTTTATTGGGCAGAAAGAGCAGGGAGGAGGAGGTAATGACTGGTCAGCTGCTTGATTGATCACAGGTTCACGTTATTGCTAACAGGCTTCAGATTTGCCTAATCACAAGAAACACTGTGCCTGGGTGGTGACTGCCCCCCAGCATTCTTTCTGGGAGGCAGACACAGTTTGTCAGTTTGCCAACAACCTGCTTTCATGAGAAACAGTTTGCTGTTTACTCATATAGTCTCCAGTGGTATACTGAGTTGATCACGACCCTCATTCTTTCGGCCTTCAACACTCGCCCACTTATCTTAGGAAAATTATTTCCCTACTTTGTTTTCCCTGTTTATTTCAGCTGTGCAGCCAGAAAGTAAATCAGAGTAGATATGTCTTAAGGGATTTATGACACAATGTAAAAGAAAAGGAAAACTATATATTTGGGAATATAACTGGAACCTTTTTAAAATGTCCAGGCCCTTAGAGGTTCCCAAAAACTCTCTCACAAAATTACCAAGTTTCCATTTCTCATACTCTAAACAAGCATGTCCCTCTTTAGGCAGAGCAATCAGGCTGAAATCAAGGAGGTTCTTACTCAAATGTGTAAGTGATGTTTCTTTTCTGTTTTCATGCAGTCAGTCCTGCACCAACATTATCAGCTAAGTGGGTAGCTGTGAGATAGCCTAGAAAAGTCATCACCACTTACAGCATCATTTCTATAGAAAACGGCCAATCTATAGGGACACAGCCTGTGTTTAAGTAGCAGTCTACCTGATTAATCTACACAAATGAGATTGCACTATTGATATGTAATAGTGAAGGAGGGTTGTAGGGATGTGTGATGGTGAGATGTGTCTAAGAACACTTCCCCAGTGTGGGAATACTGGTCGGAACTGTAAAGAAGATAAAGTGTGGATGGTTCAGGGAAGGGAGAACAGGAGCCAAGTGGTAAGGAGTCTTAAAACATACGATTTCATGTTTAAATTTTATTTCCTGCAGAAACCTCAGGCTTGCAAGCCAGTACATAAAATTATTTGAATGAAGCTCTACAAAGCAGCCCCTTGATGCTGTGGTAGACCCAAGAGGCAGGGAGGTTGATGATTTAGGCCCTTAGTGAAAGTGGAGAGAGTGCTGGAACCAAGCCACACAGATGGGGAAAAATTGAGTTGTCCTTGGCATCAAAATAGTCCAGAAGCTGGTAGGGGGAAAAAAGAGGAAGATGAAGAAGATAAAACAGCAACTCCAAAGCTGTAAGACAACAGGATCTTGAAGCTAAATGTTGTTGAAAAGAGTGAGAATTTTGAGGCAAGTGAGGACAAAGCGGTAGAACGTGCATTTAATACTAGATGTTAAAGGAAATCATAGCAAAGTTTTCCCTGGAATCAGAGGGAAGGAATTCAGACTGGAGGAATAGGGAGCTTTCTCCACCTCCAAATTGGGTACAAACACCCCAAGGTTGAATATTTCAAAAAATATATTTATCTGGGAATTATAGAACTCAAGAGGGCCACAGAATAAAATCTTAGCTGTAAAATGGCAAGAATCTCTCAGCTCACAGAACTTTTTCTATACTGGAGCCACTTGCATTTGCATTTACTTTGGAATTTAACACTCCACCTGCTTTCAAAGATGCCATCTACTCGGATCCTCTCAGGAGGGCTAAGTTTTTAGGTCCCTTTCAGGAATCAGAATCCTGCTCAGGAAGAAGCAGCGATCTACCCACGGACAGAGAAGCCAGCAATGGAGCAAAAATTAGAACCAAAATTCCCAACCCCCACTGTCATACAGGCAGAAATCCTGTTCCTTGATCTTGGAAGAAAAGTACAGCACACCTTGCCAAAGCCTGAAACATACATAAACATAACGGCTGCAAGATGCTTTTCCCCCAGCAACTTCCAATATCATTTCAAAAATACTTTAGCTTTACTTCTGATGCAGGCAACTAATGGATTCCAACACTTCCATTTTAAATTTTTTCTGCTTTTAAATCTTGATATCAAGCACTAAATGGGCTATAACCCAATACTCACATGCACCAGAGAACTTTAACAAGACAGCTCTCATCATTAAGCTAACAATCCCTCCATACCAGCATCACCATCGTCACTTCTACTGACTCACTGCTTAATGTCCTAAATGAAGATTTCCCTCTACTGAGTTTTCTTATGCTTTAGTAATAGCTGTACTATAACAAGTACTATTTACAGATTTCCTATGCTGAAAAGGCACTTTACAAGTATTATCTCACTTAATCTTCATAACAAACCTTTGAGGTTGGTGCTTCTGATAACCTCACTTAACACAAGAGGAAACCAAGGCCCAGAAAGGATAAGTAAACCCGCCCCAAATCACACAGCTGGTAAGCAGCAAAGCTTAGATTCATACCCAGTAAGTCTAACTCCAGAGCCTTCCCTCAGCCACCTCACTATTCTTACAGAGTGTACTGGACTCATTTTTTCCAAAATCTATAATGAAATCAATCCATTAGGAAAGCTAGAATATAAGTGGTCTAAATGTAATAGAATTTTTAAACGTTATGCATAACGTTAGACACTCTCTGATAAAAAAATTTAAATCAATAAAATGTAATCAAAATACACATGAAATATCTAACTCACATACATTCCTTAAAAGATTTACTGAAAAAGGCAAACTAAACCTAACCGATTTACCTTGGAAATAAGAGGGGAAAGTCAGCAGTTATGCAGAGATAAGAGTAAAATTGAAATAGCTCTAAATTCAGGAACAAATGAGCACTCTGGAAACCACAAGCAATAAAAGTGAAAGAAGCACATGCCCACTGAAATGACAACGGCTTTAAAGAAAATGAAATAGTAGTGCAATATTCTAGCATATTCGGAAAAAGTGGTATGAGACTTTTGCCTTTTCCAGGGTCCAATTTTCATGAAACTGAATCCCATTTTGTAGACTCTAAATTACATGATTTTCTCCAAGAAAACCACCAAGTCCAGATTCCCATATCACAATTCTCTCCAAACCCCACTTGAGTCTTTTTTTTTTTTTTTTTTTTTTTTTTCTGAGACAGAGTCTTGCTCTATCCCCCAGGCCGGAGTGTGCTGCCCCACTAATTTTTGTGTTTTTAGTAGAGACTGGGTTTTGCCATGTTGCCCAGGCTGGTCTTGAACTCCTGGCCTCGAGTGATCCTCCCGCCGCAGCCTCCCAAACTGCTGGAATTACAGGTGTGGGCCACTGTGCCCAGTCCCCATTTAAGAGTCTTACAAAGACTTATTCTTCAACCCACATAATACTAAGAGGAAACACTTCTCCAAACCCAGAAAGGTTTCACCAACACAGAAGAATGACTAGATAGACTGGAAGAGGTGCACTGGAGTGGGGAAAAAAGTCTAATTACAGAATAGTTTAAAATATATACCCACTACTTCCACATCCGCACCAACATATTATGTATTAGTTATGTATTGCTGCATAAGAAACCATCACAACATGTGATGCCTTAGAACAATGAACATTTATTCTTTTTAAGGATTTTGTGGGATGGCAGTCTGGACAGTTCTGTTCATGTCCCTCCTGAGGTCACTCATGTGACTTCTGTCACCACACAACTCCACTGGGGCTGGAGGGGGCCATGATGACCTCATGCACATGTCTGGCATTTGGCGCCAGCTCACACAAGTCACCTCCCTTCTCCCCCAGGCCAGGGCTCCTCCTCTGGTAGGCTAGACTTGGCTTTTTCACAGCAGTGGGGTTTCAGGGTTCCAAAAGAACAGAGGCAAGAGGTGCAACATCCCTTAAGGACCAGGCTCCAGAGTTCACAGAACACATTATTGGTCAAAGCAAGTCCAAAGACCAGCCCGGATTCAAGGAGGAGAAAACAGACCATACTTCTTTATGGGAGGAGCAGCAAGGGTACCTTAGAAAGGGGTGGGCACACATCTAGCACACCAGGTATATTATAAATAGTTACTAATCAATAAAATCTGGAAAATTAGTTGAAAAGCTACCTTTCACAATGGATCTTTATTACATAAAATGTCACAAAGGTTGTTCCCTACCTTCTTATATATGTAATGGAAAAAAAATATGTTCCCAAATCAGAATTTCAAAATCAGTGGAGTCTCTATTGCCTTTTGGTCTCATCTCCAGCCAGTTTGGGAATTCCTTTTATAACAGCCTACTTGACCATTTCCAGTAACATTACAAGGCAGAGAAACTCTGTTCCTAAGCAGTTCTTGCTTTTGTTGTTGTTTTTGTTTTGAGACAGGGTCCCACTCTGTCACCCAGGCTGGAATGCAGTGGCGTGATCATAGCTCATTGCAGCTCCAAACAGCTCTAACTCCTGGGCTCAAGTGATCCTCCTGCCTCAGCCTCCCAGGTGCACACCACTGTGCCTGGCTAGCAGTTCTGATTGTTGTGTTTTTCCTTGAAATCTACCCCGTATTTCTAAAAAATACAGATTTCTAAAAAAATACAGGGGTGGATTTCTTCTGCCACCAGTCCTCTTCTACCTTCTGGAACTAAAGGCATGGAGACAGCATAGTGTGATATGGTTTCAGGGGTGGCTCTGGAGTCAGAATGCCAAAGATTGAATTCCAGCTTTGCTGCTTCATGGTTGTGTGACCTAGGACAAGGTGCACAACCTCTCTGAGCCTCAATTTCCTTATCTGTAAAACACAGTAATAGCGAACCTCAGAAGATTGATATGAGGATTAAGTGAATTTATAAAATGATAAAACAGTGCCTTAGGCATAGTAAACTCTGAAATGCTTATTTTTGTTGTTTTTAATGCTATTACTATTATTGAGTATGCTTAAAAAGGCTTTTTTATTCTTTCCAATAATACTCGTTCAAATGTTTAAAGATAATTAATGCCATCTACTCCATCCAAACCCTCTTCCAGACCAACATCTATGATTCCTTCAACCATTACTTCAATGACTTGGTTCCAGGCTCCTTTTTGAAACAAGGTCTCACTCTCTGTTGTTCAGGCTGGAATGCAGTGGCACAATCTTGGCTTACTGCAGCCTCAACTTCCCAGGCTCAAGCAATCCTTCCATCTCAGCCTCCCGAGTAGCTGGGACTATAGACAAGAGCCACTACACCCATTTTTTTTTTTAAATGGGGGCGGGTCTCACTATGTTGCCCAGGCTGGTCTTGAACTCCTGGACTCAAGTGATCTTCCCACCTACACCTCCCAAAGTGCTGGGATTACAAACATGAGCCACCATGCCTGTCCCCAGATCCTCTGCCTGTCAGTTGACTCTGTATAGTACATTTACCTAAAACTGAACCCAAAGCTCCAATTGTGTCAGTGAGAGGAGGACAAGACCATCACTTTTCTTTCAGAAACTGCACTCAAATAATATCTTAGACCCATGTCTTCATTCAACAAATACGAATGAACTTCTACTGACAACCAGGAAGTGTGCTCTTTGTGAAGACAAAATAGATCCCCTCTGTGGGGTCCACCAAAGATGGGTCCCCTAGAAGTGTCCATGTCCTCAACCCTGGAACCGTGACTATGTTGCCTTACACAGCAAAAGGGATTTTGCCAATATGATTAAGGATCTTCTGATTGAGAGATTAGCCTGGATTATCTGGGTGGGCCCAAAGTAATCACAAGGTTCCTTACAGGAGGGAAGCTGAAGGGTCAGAGACAGAGAGGAAATGTGAGGTGATGATGGAGGCAGAGGTTAGAGTGGTGTGCTTGGAAGATGGAGGAGGGGCTCCTGGATGAAGGAATCTAAGAGTCATCTAGAGGCTGGAAAAGGCAACGACAACAAAAAGATTGTTCCCTAGAACCTTCAGAACAAATGAACCCTGCTGACCCATTTTGGACTTCTGACATCCAGAACCATAAGGTAATAAATGTGTGTTTTTTGAAGCCACTGAATTTGTGTTAATTTAGTTCAGGTTTAATAGGAAACTCATATGCCATCCCTGCCCTCAGTTAGTTCATGGCCTTATGGGAGGAAAGTACCTAACTGAAAGGATTTATAGAAAACAGATTGTTTTTTAATCCAATGGTCATAAACTTTTAAAACTTAAATTGGAAGAAAAGTTTTTTAATCCAGTGGTCATAAACTTTCAAAACTTAAATTGGAAGAAAATTAAATCTGAAAACAAAAATTTCTACTTAATACTCCCTTAGCTTTTCTAATTTCCCCCCACACTGATATCAATCTTATAATCAAACATAACTCTAAGTCTTTTTATATGAAATTCCCTCAAGCCAGATCTCTGCCATTAAAGATTGGCAAAAGGGAGTCAATTATATAAGTCCCTAATTCAAAAAAAAGCTACTGATGTGATATTGCATTCTTTCCCCTGAAAATTCTCAACCTATTTTAAGCCTTTTTAATCAGCAAGGCTTGTGCCCACCACATCTTACACTCCCCAGCCTGGGAGCATCAGAATGAACCTAACTTTTTACAAGATTTTAAGTAAACTTTATTACAATACACTTAAATGAAGAAAAAACCTTAAGGCTTCCTTTTTCTTATTTTTTATTTTTTTCTTAAACAGGGTCTCACTCTGTCACCCAGACTACAGTGCATGGCATGATCATAGCTCATTGCAGCCTCAAATTCCTGGGCTCAAGAGATCCTCCTGCCTTAGCTTCAGGAGTAGCTGGGATTGCAGGCTCGCATCACCACCCCCTGCTAATTTTTTAGTCTTGTTTAGAGACAGGATCTTGCTATGTTGGCCAGGCTGATCTCAAACTCCTGGCCTCAAGTGATCCTCCCTCCTCAGCCTCCCAAAGTGCTGGGATTACAGGAATGAGCCATCATGCCCAGCCCTTAGGGCTTTCAAGAAGTGGAAAGCCTTATGTAATTACCAAGTAATTGTCACTGAGATAAAAACTGCACGCCAGGCCAGAGGCAGTGGCTCACATCTGTAATTCTAGCACTTTGAGAGGAGGAGATGGGTAGACTACTTGAGCCTAGGGGTTCAAGACCAGCCTGGGCAACATGGTAAGACCCTGTCTCTAAAAAAAAAAAAAAAAAAAAAAATTAGCCAGGCACAGTGGTGCATGCCTGTAGTCCCAGCTACTCAGGTGGGCTGCAGTGACAGGATCGCTTGAGCCCAGGTCAGGGAGGTTGCAGTGAGCTGAGATCACACCACTGCACTCCCGCCTGGGTGACAGAGCGAGATCCTGTCTCCAAAAAACAAAAGAATGCCTCAGAAGCCCCTTCTGCCCTTTCCTAGTCACTAACTCCATCAAAGATGACCACTAGCCTAACTTCTACCACCATGGTTTATTTAGTTGTCTGGTTTTGAACTTTACATCAATGGAATCACATTGCATTTACTCTTTTACATCTATCTTGGTTTTGCTCAGCTTTGTGTCACAAGATTCATCCATGTTATGTGAGGCAATAATTTGTTCATTCTTATCACTGTACCAATTAGTGCTTTTTGTGGCCTATTCAAGAAACCTTGTCCCTAGGTCATAAAGATATTTTACTTTGCTTTCTTCCAGGTGCTTTGTTTTAGCGTTCACATTTAGGTGTATGTTGTTATCTTGATTAATTTTTGTATATGAGATGAGGTACATGATCTAGATTCATTTTGTCTATGTGGATAGTCAATCGACCCAGTGTCATTTACTGAGAAGACCATCTTCTCTCCACTGCCCTGCAGTGTTGCCTCTGTCATAAATCAAAAGACCACAGATGTATAAGCCTGTTTATGGATTCTTTACTCAGTTCCATAATCTGTGTAGCTTTATGCAATACCACACTGACATGACTACATATTGATCTAGTAGCTTAGGTCCTCCAGTTTTGCTCTTAAGACTGTCTAGAATTTCCAAATAAATTTCCAATCTGCTTATCACCTATTTTTGAAGAAAAAATTTGCCGGGATTTTGATTGGGATTGGCCCGAATCTATAGATTTGCAGAGCAATACCTTACCCTCTGTTATTTTAAATCTAATTTCTCTCAATGCTCCAGCTTGCAAAGAGGCTTTTTTTTTTTTCATCATGAATGGGTGCTGAGTTGTATCAAATACTTTTTCTCCTTTACTTCATATATGGAGTTAAATTGCATTTGTTGACTTTCGTAGTGTTAGCCAAAGTTTACATTCCTGAAATAAATCCAACTTGGTCATGATTTATTATCCTTTTTATAGATTGCTAGATTTGACTTACCATATTTAAGACTTATGTGTCTGTCTTTATGAGCATTTGGCCTATAATTTTCTTGTAATATCCTTATCAATTTTTAGTAACAAGATTGTGCTGGCCTCATAAATGCAACCGGAAAGTGGTTCCTCTTTAATTTTCTTAAATGTTTGGAAGTTTCACTAGTAAAGCCATCTGGGCCTGAAAATTTTGCTATGGAAAGGTTTTTAACTACAAATTCAATGTTTTTGGTAGATATAGGACTACTCATTTTTTCTAGTTTTTGTGTCTTTGGTAATATATTTTATTGGAAAAACCTGTCAATTTCATCTGAATTTTCAAATGTATTACCATGAAATCGTTCATAACATCTTAAGAGCTTCTGTCTGTGGGATATGTGATAGTAGTTCATTTTTCTTCCCTGACACTAATAACATCATCTACCACTAAGGTTCATTTCTATTCGCAAAAAAAAAAATAAAAATAAAAATAAAAAAATAAAAAGGTAGGGTGTATACACTATATGACATACATCCACTATTTCAGGAATATTCTCCAACCATATTACCCACAGAAGGAGCAGGGCAGGTAGATTATATAAACAATCCAGCAATCCCCTCTCAAAAGCTTTCATCAAACAGAAACAACTGTGAACCCGGGCTAAAAAGGGGAAAACTAACTGAAGGAGAAGGAAACTGCTATCAGTAATGCACTAACAGGCTGGGTGTGGTGGCTCATGCCTGTAATCCCACCATTTTGGGAGGCTGAGGTGGGCAGACGACTTGAGCCCAGGAGTTTGAGACCAGCCTGGGCGACATGGCGAAATCCCTTCTCTGCTAAAAATACAAAAATTAGCCAGGAATGGTGTTGCATGCCAGTAGCCCCAGCTGCTCAGCAGGCTGAGGTGGGAGCCTGGGAAGTTGAGGCTGCAGTGAGCTGTGATCCAGCCTGGGAAACACAGGAAGACCCTTTCTCAAAAAAAAAAAAAAAAAAAATGACACGCTAAAGTGGCCAGCAAGTACTTAGATGAAAAACAACCACTAAGTAGGGTTGTATGTAACCCAGGATCCCCAGCCCTCCACTCCCAAGGTGTCCATAGAGAGAATTCAGGGGGACATGAGCTCAAATATCTTTATTTTCATGAATTTCTGGCTGAAAATTAGCATTTCATTGGATTATAGATGTGGACAACGACTCACAGTAGTAAGAGCAGTTCCAGCCAGATGTAATGGCTCACACCTGTAATTCCAGCACTTTGGGAGGCCAAGGTGGGCAGATCACTTCAAGCCAGGAGTTCAAGACCAGCCTGGCCAACATGGCAAAACCCTGTCTCTACTAAAACTACAAAATTAGCCAGGCACGGTGGTGAACATCTGTAATCCCAGCTACTGGGGTGGGTGAGGCATGAGAATTGCTTGAACTCGGGAGGCGAAGGTTGCAGTGAGCCGAGATCATGCCACTGCACTCCATCCTGTGTGACATAGTGAGACGCTGTCTCAGAAAAAAAAAAAAATCATAGTAGTAAAAGCAGCTCTGACGAATGTCACCAGTAAAAGTCAGATACTTTCATACTACTGTGTAGCCTTTGAAAATACTACAAAATACCATTTACATGGGCATCACTACTTTGAAATTACAGGAGTTACTTGCTACTGCACTGAATTTTGTTACTTACTGCATTGATAAAGAAGTACATATACTCATACATTTGGAGCTTTTTTAGTTTTTTCATTTTATTATTATTTTTTAAGAGACAGGGTCTCACTCTGTCATGCAGGCTAGAGTGCAGTGGCCTGATCATAGCTCACTGCAGCCTTGACCTCCTGGGCTCAAGTGATCCTTCCTCCTCAGCCTCCCAAGTAGTTGGGACTACAAGTGATGCTAGCACTGGGGAGTGGCTGCAAATACAAATTAGCATTAAGAGGGAGGTTTGACTACACAGAGACCATAATAAATCAATTGCTTGCAGACTCATATCAAAATCCTATCAGTGAGTGTCAAGTAACAAGTAGCTTAATGCTGCCTGGTGGCAGGCTTTATAGTGGCAAGTGAGTTGATGTACTTCCATCGTACAGCTGCATCTGTGGGCAGGCTTTCAGTCAGAATCCGACACTTATTTTAGTCCACTCATGGCCCGCCCATTATTTACCACTTCCAGGTGTGCCTGTTTCCTGCACTGCACATTTGTCTCAGTCACAGTTTTGGTAAGCCCACAAGCTAACCCTAGCCGAAATGAGTAAAAAACAAACATCACTGGTAAGCTTCTTTGAAAAGGGGGAAGACCCAATGATGAGACAGAAGACTGTAAGATTGCCAACAAAAAGCAAGCTGCATTTAAAAGAAAATACCAGGAGTCATACTCAAATTACAGGTTCATTGCAACAGGTGACTCACATTCTCCAAGCCCACTTTGTGTAATATGTGGCCACTGGCTATCCAATGAAGCCATGAAACCTTCAAAACTGCTTCACCACATGGAGACCAAGCACCCTGCATTAAAAGACAAGGCTTCGGAGTTTTTCAAAAGAAAAAACATAAGCACAAAGAACAGAAGCAATTATTGAAGGCTACCATTTCATCAAATGTGTCTGCAATGAGAGTATCATTCTTAGTGGCTAACCGTATTGCTAAAGCTAAGAAGCCCTTTACTATTGGTGAAGAGTAAACTAGGCGAATTGAAATAGCAGCGGATATTGAGGCACAATTGGTAGAGAGGATTAATGAGTCACTGCGGTACGCAATCTGGGTTGACTAGTCTACCAGTGTTGACAAGGCAACAATGCTTGTTTTTTTGTGATACAGTTTTCAGGAGGATATACATGAAGATGTTAGGTGCACGAGGATATGTCACTTGCACTTTTGTTGCTAACCAACACCACAGCTGCACAACTATTCAAGTCTTTGAATGATTACCTATCAGAAAAACCGAATTGGTCCTTTTGGGTAGTATGTGCTTGGGCAGAGCGACTGCTACGACTGGTTTCACTACTCGGGCCAAAGAGGTCACTTCTGAATGTGAGTCTATGCACTGTGACATCCATAGAGAAGTGTTGGCTAGCCAAAAAATGTCACCTGAACTTAAGAACATTTTGCAGGATGTGATTAAAATTATCAACCACATTAAAGTACATGCCCTTAACTCACATCTGTTCACACAGCTCTGTGAGATGGACATAGAGCACACACATCTTTTATACACAGAAGTGGGATGGCTTTCTAAAGATAGATCACTGGCCGGAGTTTGAGTTATGAGGGCCACTCCAGAGATTTCTTCTAGAAAAGTAGTCACCACTGGCAGCACATTTCATAGAAGGGGTTACAAAACTTGCTTACTTGCTTACCTCCTCAATGAACTCCATCTGTCCCTTCAGGGGAGAACTGTGTTCAAGTCGGCAGATAAGTGGCTGCACTCAAAACCAAACTGGAATTATTGCGGCGACAAGTGAACACTGGGATTTCTGACACGTTTCAAACATTAGCAGAGATTTTGAAAGAGACTAAGCCAGGGCCTTCTCTCTCCCAGCTGGTGCATGATCACCTATCTCAGCTTTCAAAAGAGTTTGAGCATTACTTCCCAACTACAAAAGACACCCGAACTGGGAAGGATCCTAGATCCATTTGTGAATAAGCCAGGTGAATTGACTTTGTCCATGCTAGAAGAGGACCAACTGTTTGAGATAGCAAATGACCGGGCCCTAGAAGTATGTTTAAGACAACTTCAAATATCCATACATTCTGGATTAAAGTCAAGGCAAAGTATCCTGAAATTGCCACAAAAGCACCGAAAAGCCTGCTTCCATTTCCAACATCCTATCTTTGTGAAGCAGGGTCTTCTGCAGTGACAGCAACCAAAATGAGACTATGAAGTAGGCTGGACATAAGCAAACACACTTTGGGTGTCAATGTCTACCAACACACCCCCCCAGATGGGACTGCCTAGTTGCAGAAAAACAAGCTCAGGGGTCCCACTGATTCTACTCTATGGTGAGTTGTATTCATATTACAATGTAATAATAATAGAAATAAAGTCCACAATAAATGTAATGCAGGTGGGGCATGGTGATTCACACCTGTAATCCCAGCACTTTGGGAGGCCAAGGAGAGGATGGCTTGAGCTCAGGAGTTCGAGCTCAGGAATTTGAGACCAGCCTGGTTGACATGGTGAAATCCTGTCTCTACTAAAAATACAAAAATTAGCCAGATGTGGTGTCGCATGCCTGTAAGCTACTCCGGAGGCTGAGGCACGAGAATTGCTTGATCCCCAGAGGTGGAGGTTGCAGTGAGCCAGTATCGTGCCACTGCACTCCAGCCTGGGTGACCCAGCGAGACTCTTGTCTCAAAACAAATAAATAAAATAAATGTAACGTGCTTGAATTATCCCAACACCATCCCCCTTCCCCCAGTCCATGAAAAACTTATTGTCCATGAAACCGGTCCTTGGTGCCAAAAAGGTTGGGGACCACTGCTTTAGGGAACATTCCCCCTGGGCCAGGTCCTAAGCTGGAAGCAGGGGGTGCAGGTAAGGCCCATGCTCGCAAGTTCCTGATGCTACCTACAGAGCTCCCACCAACATCTGGCCACCCACAAAAACGGCTGCTCCCTCCAAAGAATTGACTTTCACCCTAAGTTCATCCATCTAACCTACTTCCAAGGAGGGGGCAAAGTAAACAGTAGATAAAGCACAGGCGTTGATCCAAAAGAGGAGTCCAAAACCCGGCCCTGACATGTACTAGTTTGTGGCTTTGGCTCCCCTCCAAGGCTTTCTCTATCCTACTGTGAAAAGAGATAACAACACTTATCTTTCCCAGTTACTGTAAGGTTTAGAAATAATGTATCTAAAGCACCTAATAAGCACACAGTCTCCTTAAATTAACATTAATTGAATCTCTCAGGTCAGAGCTGTCCTTATCAAACAATCACAATTAGGGACTGACTGGCAACGAGAAAGGAGGGAGAAAAATCACAGGGAAAATGGAACATGAGGAATGGAAGGGGAAAAAAATCATTCCTCAAAGTCTCCTTCAATGAACTACCGCCTCTTCAATGAAGCCTTCCCTCTCCTCTCCTTGCATTCCCATAGCACTTAATCACATTGAAATAGGTCCTTAGCTCTGAGAATGAATGAGATGCCAGGCACGGTGGCTCACGCCTGTAATCCCAGCACTTTGGGAGGTCGAGGTGGGCAGATCACCCGAGGTCAGGAATTCGAGACCAGCCTGGCCAACACGGTGAGACCCTCGTCTCTACTAAAAATACAAAATTAGGTGGGCGTGGTGGCGCATGCCTGTAATCCCAGCTACTCAGGAGGCAAGGCTGGAGAATCGCTTGAAACCGGGATGCTGAGGTTGCAGTGAGCTGAGATTGTGCCATTGCACTCCAGCCTGGGCGACCAGAGCGAAACTCCGCCTCAAAAACACAAACAACAACAAAAACAGAAAGAGAAGCAATGTCTCACTCCCACGTAATGCAAACCTCTGAGGATGCCAAATGCCCTAGCCCTACAACCCTGATCCAAGAGCAATGTACACAGGTAGCAGCACATTTCTTAACACCAATGCTACCCGTAAAGTACCTCTGGTGAGGATTAGCGGGAGGGTTTTTCCGCATAAAGACCTGCCACCTGAAGGTTAGACTCAGAACAGAGGAAGAAAACTGAGTCCTGAAGATAGAACGCAAAGGAAGTCTCTAACTTTAGAGTCCCTGGAGTCACAGCAGGCAGGCAGGCGCACCGCCGATACTGCCAAGAGGACCAGAGTTCGCAACTCCCCGCAGCAGTTCCGGAAGCTGGGGACGAAGCCAAGGAGAGAGGACGTGGGCAGGGCCGTGCGCGGACTTGTCCCGGCGCCTAGATCCCCGCCTTTGCCCGGGCGCACTGCGCGCGCGGCCCCCGCCGCTTTTGTCTTCTTCGCCCGACCGGGAACTTCCTCTGTCCCGCCCTCGGGCGCGCACACGGGAACTTGGGTAGGAAACGGAAAGCGTTTTGTGCATTTTTTTTTTAACAGAGTAAACTGACGCAGAAAATTCAGCATCTAACCTCCCCAGGACCCCCTATGGTCACCAGTTACCAACCTCCGGGCTGTCCCGGGCGGCGGCGACGGCAACGTTCACGCGCGCCGCGAGTTCCCAACACCCCTCTTTCGGCACTTCCGAGTCCCAGCGACATCGGCGGCGGCTGCGGGCTTCCCCGGGACGCCACCCTCTTTCCCCCGGAGCTGCCCTTTGGAGGAGCAGCGCAGCGCGCGTCCTCCGAGCACGCCCCTGCCGCCGTGCCCGCGCGCCCTCCGCGCCCGGACTCGGGAACCCGCGGCGCTCTCCGGGCGATGGCGAGCAGGCCGTGCTGCTGCAGGGGGCGGGCCAGAGCGCGGCCTGCGTTTCTGAACCGCGTTTGCCCCGCCGGCGGCCCGGGGCCCCTAGCCCCGCTCACCCCTCGGCTGTTGGTTCCCACTGACCCTGGCGTGCATATCTCTCCCCCACCCGTGTGTTCATTGCAGGTCTGGGGCTGCCTGCAAGTTAATTGCAGAGTGGAAGTCACCTGAAACTCGAGGTGGGCCGTCATTCCAACACCAGTGGTCCCCACCTACGTTTTGTAGGCGAAAGGAGGTAGTTCGGTGCGGTGGAAAGAGGGTGGGCTTTGCAGCCCTGGCAGCTTCGAGGGCTTACTGTGTGAACTTAGCCCCTGTGAGCCTCCCTGTACACCTCTGTAAAACAGAAATAGACTTCCCTGCTTTTCTTTGTAAATTAGAGTGAAGATCAAATAGAATAAACTTTATGAATTGTAAAGCAACTTACAGAGATCACTACTGCAAAATGGGTACGAAGATTTTGATTGCGTTGTGAAAAGAGTGGAAGATCTGAAGATGCTCCAACGGGGTATAATTGGGACGATGTTGCTGCTCGGAGGCCTCCAAGCCTGAGCCAAGAGACAGGCTTGCCAGAGTTCTCCAGACTTATCTCAGCAGAATCACGTGGCTCTCATTAAAACCTCGGGCTTCTGGATCCCTCCCCAAACCAAAAGCATCAGACTGTCCATGGCAGGGGCGTCTCAGGTGGTTCTATGATAAGGTGAAGGTGGATAACTCTGCCCTAGGCAGCAGGGAAACTCGGAAGCTGTGCTCTCAGAAATTTCATCTAGCAGTCATTGTAATGGTCGAGAGGATTATTTTAATGATTTTAGAATTCTCCAGGAAACCAGAGTATGAACTCTCCAAGAGCTGGAGCTATCTTTTCTTTCTGCTTCCCCCCAACCCACTCACCCCAAAACCTGGTACTGGATGGTGTTCAGTAAGCAGGTGTTAGTAAACTAGCCCCAAATAGGAGTGCCAGATTTAGCAAATAAAAATACAGCATACTCAATTAAAATTGAATTTCAGGCTGGGCGCGGTGGCCCACGCCTGTAATCTCAGCACTTTAGGAGCGGTAGCAGGAGGATCACTTGAGGCCAGGAGTTTGAGACCAGCCTGGCCAACATGGTGAGACCCCGTCTCTACTAAAAATACAAAAATTAGCCGGGTGTGGTGGCCTGCACCTGTAATCCCAGCCACTTGGGAGGCTGAGGCACGAGAATCGCTTGAACCCGGGCGGCAGAGGTTGCAGTGAGCTCAGATCGCACCACTGCACTCCAACCTGGGTGACTGAGCCGGACTCTGTCTCAAAAAAATAAGTAAATAATTTCAGGTGAACAATATGTAACTTTTTAGTATCACTATGACCCATGCAATATTTGGGATATACTT
Source organism: Homo sapiens (assembly GCF_000001405.40). Classification (NCBI taxonomy): domain Eukaryota; kingdom Metazoa; phylum Chordata; class Mammalia; order Primates; family Hominidae; genus Homo; species Homo sapiens. The sequence continues at coordinate 210,327,440 of NC_000001.11, read as the reverse complement.
ATTTTTTTTAAGTACTTACAGGAAGCTTGTAATCCCAGCACTTTGGGAGGTCGAGGTGAGTAGATAACTTGAATCCAGGAGTTCGAGACCAGCCTGGCCAACATGATGAAACTCCATCTCTACCAAAAAAAAAAAAAAAAAATGGTATATCTGAAATTCAAATTTACATCCTGGGTATCTGAAAATCAAACTTAACTGGGTATTTTATCTGTCAACTCTAGATCCAAGGGTTTGGCAGAGGGAGTGGCAGAATAAGAACTCAACTCAGGTAGTGTCAAACTCAGGGACAGGGATGTGATAACAGCTCCTATATTATTTCTAAAAGATGCTGTTGTTAATATAGGTTCAGTGTGATTTACACTTAACCCCTGTCTACATATGCACTTTAAATTCACCGGCGAACACAAAGGAGATAAAGGCAGATTTAAACACAGGCAATCAGAAACATCAAATAAAAATAGCCAAAATTTATGTGTGTGTGTATATATATATATATATATATATATATATATATGTATGTATTAGAGACAGTCTCACTGTGTCACCCAGGCTAAGCACAGTGGCATGATCTCAGCTCACTGCAGATTCAAGCAATTCTTGTGCCTTAGCCACCTGAGTGGCTGGGATTACAGGCAAGCACCAGCCACCACACCTGGCTATTTAGTAGAGACAGGGTTTTGCCTTGTTGGCCAGGCTGGTCTCGAACTCCTGGCCTCAAGTGATGCACCTGCCTCAGCCTCCCAAAGTGCTGGGATTACAGGTGTGAGCCACCATGCTTGGCCATAATAGCCAAAATTTAAAGATAAGCAATAGACTGGGATATTTGCAAGAAATTTGCAAAGTGTTAATTTTAAAATTATATATAGAGTTAATACAATCAATAAGAAAACATTAGAAATCAATTATAGATGAGCAAGACACATTTATAGACAACCCACTAGAAAAAGGAGGAGGGAAATAAAAGTAGGAAACAAAAATATATTGCAAAAAGCTCAATGAAATGCATAGTAAAACAAGAACATGGTGGCTCACGCCTGTAATCCCAGCACTTTGGGAGGCCAAGGTGGGTGGATCACGAAGTCAGGAGATCAAGACCATCCTGGCTAACGTGGTGAAACCCCGTCTCTACTAAAAATACAAAAACAAAATTAGCCAGGCATCGTGGCGGGTGTCTGTAGTCCCAGCTACTCGGGAGGCTGAGGCAGGAGAATGGCGTGAACCCGGGAGGCAGAGGTTGCAGTGAGCCGAGATCGTGCCACTGCACTCCAGCCTGGGTGACTGAGCAAGACCCCGTCTCAAAAAAAAAAAAAAAAAAAAAAAAAACAAGAACACACAATTTTCACACATTAAGTTGGCAAAAAATTAATAAATAACATTACAGCCTGGCATGGGTGCTATGTGATAGCACTCACACACAATGTTTAGTTGGGTAAGCAATTTGGCAGTATGAAAACTTAAAATTTATCAAAATCTAAGGGAGGTGGGGCAAGATGCCAAATAGAAGCTTCCACCAATTGTCCTCCCTTCAAGAACAACAAAATGAACAACTATCAACAAAAAACACCTTAATAAGAACCAAAGATCAAGTGGGCCATTGCAGTACCAAGTTTTAACTTCATATCACTGAAAGAGGCACTGAAAAGCGTAGAGAAGACAGTCTTGAATTGCAGACGCTACCCCTCCCTCATCCTACAGCAGCAGCTGGGGAAAGATTCTCTCAGATCTTATGCAAGACCACTAAGGTGGTACCTCTGAGTCTGCAAGAGCCGTAGCATTCCTGAGCTTGAGGTGCCCTCTAATGCAGATATGATGGCAGTGACCCAAACCTAAATGACAACACCCAAGTCCCTTAGAATACCTGGAAAGCCTTCCCAAGAAGGATGAATACAAACAAGCCCACCCTGTGAAGACTACAATAAGTACCTAACTCTTCAATGCCCAGACACTGACACACATTCACAAGCATCAAGACCATCCAGGAAAACATGACATCACCAAACAAACTAAATAAGGCATCAATCCCAGAGTGACCTTTCAGACAGAGAATTCAAAATAGCTCTTTTGAAGAAACTCAATGAAATTCAAGAAAACATGAGATGGAATTCAGAATCCTACCAGGTAAATTTAATGAAGCAAATGAAATAATTGAAAAGAATTAAGCCCGAAATTCTGGAGCTGAAAAATACAATTGATATGCTGAAGAATGCATCTGAATCCTTTAATAGCAGAATTGATCAAGTAGAAGAAAGAATTAGTGAGCTTGAAGGCAGGCTATTTGAAAATACACAGTGGGAGGAGACAAAAGAAAAAATAATTTTAAAAAATGAAGTACACCTACAAGATCTAGAAAATAGCCTCAAAAGGCAAATCTGAGAGTTACTGGCCTTAAAGAGGAGGTTGAGAAAGAGATAGGGGTAGAAAGTTTATTCAAAGGGATAATAACAGAGAACTTCCCAAACCTAGAGAAATATCAATATCCAAGTAGAAGAAGGTTATAAAACACCAAGCAGATTTAACGTAAATAAGACTACCTCAAGACATTAAATAATCAAACTCCCAAGGCTCAAGGATAAAGAAAGGTTCCTGGCCGGGCACAGTGGCTCACGCCTGTAATCCCAACACTTTGGGAGGCTGAGGCAGGTGGATCACCTGAGGTCAGGAGTCTGAGACTAGCCTGACCAACATAGTGAAACCCTGTCTCTACTAAAAATACAAAATTAGCCAGGTGTGGTAGTGGGTGCCTGTAATCCCAGCTACTCAGGAGGCTGAGGCAAGAGAATCACTTAAACCTGGTTGGCAGAGGTTGCAGTGAGCTGAGATTGCATCACTCCAGCCTGGGCAACAGAATGAGACTATGTCTCAAAAAAAAATAAAAAAATAAAAAATAAAAAATATAAAAAATGCCATACAATGGAGCACCAATACGTCTGGCAGCAGACTTTTCAGGGGAAACCTTACAGGCCAAGAGAGAGTGGCATGTCATGTTTAAAGTGCTGAAGGAAAAAAAAATTATCTTAGAATAGTCTATTCAGCGAGCCACATCCTTCAAACATAAAAGAAATAAAGACTTTTCCAGACAAACAAAAGCTGAAGGATTTCATCAACACCAGCCCTGTACAAGAAATGCCAAAGGGAGTTCTTCAATCTGAAAGAAAAGGACGTTAATGAGCAATAAGAAATCATCTGAAGGTGCAGAACTCACTGGTAATAGTACATACACAGAAAAACACAGAATATTTTAACACAGTAATTGTGGTGTGTAAACTACTCATATCTTGAGTAAAAAGACTAAAAGAGGAAGCAATTAAAAATAATAGTTACCACAACTTTTCAAGACATAAACAATACAATAAGATATAAATAGAAACAACAAAAAAGTTAAAAAGTGGGGTAAGCCAGTTAAAATGTAGAGTTTTCATTAGTTTTCTCTTTGCTTGCTTGTTTGTTTACACACTCAGTGTTAAGTTGTAATCAGTTTAAAATAATGGGTTATAAGATATAATTTTCAAGCCTCATGGTAACCTCAAATCAAAAACATACAACAGATACATAAAAAATAAAAAGCAAGAAATTAAAACATAACCACCAGAAAAAATCACCTTCACTAAAAGGAAGACAGGAAGGAAAGAAGGAAGAGAAGACCACAAAACAACCAGAAACAAATAACAAAATGGCAGGAGTAAGTCCTTACTTATCAATTATAACACTGAATGTAAATGAACTAAATTCTCCAATCAAAAGATATAAGAGTGGCTGAATGGCTTTAAAAAACCAGAGGCTACACTTCTCAGCCTGTCAGATGGCCACCCTGCAGGATGTAACCCTTTATAAGAAATAAAGTCTCCTTTCTAAATGTATAAAAAATGTGTGATTTTTTAAGCCAACACGTCAGAATTTCCTTCCTTTTTAAAACTGATAATATTCCATTGTATGTATGTCACACATTTTTTCCATTTATCTATCTATGGATTCTTGAGTTGCTTTCTTCTTTTGGCTGTTGTGAATAATGCTGCCATGAACACGGATATACAAACATCTCTTTAAGACCCTGCATTCGATTCTTTTGAGTATATACCCAGAAGTGAAATTGCTGAATCATATGGTAATTCTGTTTTTAATTTTACGAAGAATTGCCATACTATTTTCCATAGAGGCTGTGCCATTTTACATTCCCATCAACAGCGCAATTTCTCCATATCCTCACCAACACTTGTTATTTTTTGATGTGTTTTTATACTAGCCATTCTAATCAGTATGAGGTAGTATCTCCTTGTAGTTTTAATTTACATTTCCCTAATGATTAGTGATGTTGATCATCTTTTCATATGCTTATTGGTCATTTACATACCTTCTCTGGAGAACTGTCTAATCAAGTCCTATGCCCATTTTTAAAATTGTATTGTTTGTTTTCTTGTTAAGTTGTAGGAGTTCTTTGTACATTCTGGATATTAATCCCTCATCAAATATATGATTTGCAAATACGTTCTCTCATCCTGTGGCTTGTCTTTTCACTCTGCTGATTGTGTCCCTTGATGCACAGACATTTTAGTTTTGGTGAAGTCTAATTTAACTATTTTTTCTTTTGTTGCTGGTTTTTTGTTTATGTTTTTATTTTGTTTTTTGAAACAGGGCCTCACTCTGTCACCAAGGCTGTAATGCAATGGCACATTCATAGCTCACTGCAGCCTCCGTCTCCAGGGCTCAAGTGATCCTTGTGCCTTAGCCTCCCAAGTAGCTGGGACTATCAGAATGTGCCACCATGCCCAGCTAATTGTTTTTATCTCTTTTTTTTTGAGACAGAGTTTCGCTCTTATTAAGCCCAGGCTGGAGTGCAATGGCACGATCTCAGCTCACCACAACCTCCGCCTCCTGGGTTCAAGCAATGCTCCTGCCTCAGCCTCTCAAGTAGCTGAGATTACAGGCACACACCACCACGCCTGGCTAATTTTTGTATTTTTAGTAGAGACGGGGTTTCACCATGTTGGTTAGGCTGGTCTCGAACTCCTGACCTCGTGATCCACCCGCCTCGGGCTCCCAAAGTGCTGGGATTACAGGCATGAGCCACCATGCCCGGCCGTTTTTATCTTTAGTAGAGAGAAGGCCTCACTATGGTGCCCAGGCTGGTCTCGAACTACTGAGCTCAAGTGATCCTCCCACCTTGGCCTCTCAAAGTGCTGAGATTACAGGCATGAGCCATCATGCCTGGCCAGTTGCTGGTATTTTTAATGTCATATCCAAGAAACCAATGTCATGAAGTTTTTTCCTATATTTTCCTCTGAAAATTTTATAATTTTAATTCTTATGATTAGGGGTTTCATCTATTTCAAGTTAATTTTTGTATTTGGTGTTAGGTAAGGGTCCAGCTTCAATCTTTTGCATATGGTGATCCAACTTTCCCAATACCACTTGTTAAAAAGCATTAACATCTTTCAAATGCCAGATATTGGAGTAAAAGGAATGGATGGTAGGAAACTAAGTTCTTTTTGGAAATGAGAAATAAGATCAATGGAGTAAACCAACGTCAAAGTCTAAACACCAGGAGAAAAGTTGGGTTGGGGAGAGTGTAGATGGGAGGAGAGGGAGAAGAGGGAGATTCTCCCCCACCTTTAATGCTTCACACACCGGCAGAAGTGTCTGAACGTTGAGGATCTCTGCTTGTCTTGGAGAAGTAAGGCCTCTGGATCTTCCCGACTTGGAGCCGGAGCAGCCAGCCCTGAGGCAAGACGTGACCGGACATGCCTTGGCTTGAAACGCTTCAGTTCTGACTACAAGCAAAGCCAAGGAGAGTCCTCCCTGGAGTTGAGAAGCAAACTAGAAATAGAGTAAATAGAGCAAAATTATGATAATTGAGGTTTAAAGGAGGGAACCAATTTGTGCCTTGGTATTGTATTTCCTTGAAAGCAAAAATACCAAAATTAGTATGTAAATGTGAGTAATTAATGGTCAGTTCCTCTCTATACTATTATTTTAATCATAAGTCATTAATCAGGCACCTGCACTGGGTGTGTTTTCTCTCTGACTCTCTCAGTTAGTGGAATCTAAGTATTCCACTGGGGCCTCCCATCCAGACAGGCAGACCTGAGTGCCTGGTAGCAACTCTCCAGACAGCAAAACTGGTGCTTAGGAAGGATTAACCAGGCCAATCCTCCTTTTAAGTTCAGCCGTGACTCAGCCATACAATTATACTCATTCAACAGAGGCATAAATGGTTGCTAAGACTTCATTGATAAAGGCTTTAAGACAAAGGAGTGAATTTCTGATTACGAAGATTCACACTCAAGGAGCAATCACGAGCTATTTTGAAGGATTCAAGGATCTACCCAACCCTGACCACCTGGCATAGGCTTTTGTCTGCTCCACCTATAAGAATGTCCACCCTGGTTTATTGTGATTTTCAATAATCACCATTGAACTAGCATTTGTCTAGCACCAACTTTACACACAGCACAAAACTGAGTATTGGGGGAGATTTTATAAAAAGGGAAAAAAGACTTCTCTTGCAGGAAGTTGCAGTCTAGCTGGGGATTCACCAGATATACACAAAACAACAGGCAAATCAGAAGTACAATTAAAATGATATAGTTCAAACTACTCATTAATGCTGAAGAACAGACTCATATCAGTACCCTAAACTATGCAGAGTGCAACTCATTATCATCTCCTCCAAGAACCCTTCCTATCTAGGGTAAATTCAATCCCTGGCAAAATTAATCTCTGCCCAGTCACTCTCTCTTCTATCACATTATTCTTTTTCCATTTTCCTATAGCACTTACCACTCTCTGAACTTCTCTCATTTGTTTATACATTTATTATTTATGTCAGCATTATTCAGACTATTTGGAAGACATAATACCCTAGTAGGTTATAAAATAAACTTAATGGGTCACAGCTACATTTAATTTTTTTTTACTTATTTTTTAACAAAATGAAATAGAGTATAATAAACAATTAGAATAAAATAGAAAACATGAGAACACATCACTGGACTTTTATTAGGAATTGTGAACACTGTAAGAAATACTGCATCCAATTGCTATGAGCAAGATTAAGAAAGCTAATAAAAGACTATGATGGGCCAAGCACAATGGCTCACGCCTGTAATCCCAAAATTTACAGAGGCCAAGGCAGGTGGATCACTTGAGGCCAGGAGTTCAAGACCAACCTGGCCAACATGGTGAAATCCCATCTCTACCAAAAATATATATATATTAGCCAGACATGGTGGTACACACCTGTAATCCCAGCTACTTGGGAGGTTAAGGCAAGAGAATCGCTTGAACCTGGGAGGCGAAAATTGCAGTGAGCCAAGATCGCACCACTGCACTCCAGCCTGGGTGATGGAGTGAGACCCTGTCTCAAAAAAAAGAAAAAAAAAAAAAAGACTACGATGAATATCAGTTGGCTAGTACAAGTCATTCTACCTTCTAAAAACAAACATCTCATTTGATTTTCTCATATATGATATGAATATGCCCATCATCTTTATGAGATAATTAGCTGTTTATATTTTATGTTAACATTAGTCAGAATTCATTGTAAAGCATTTTTCTGAAAGAACATTGTCAAGTGAGATATGTCTCAGGTTTGCATCAAATGTATATTTTGTTAAATTAGCATGAATTTCCCTTTAACAGGATTTCTCCTTATTAGAAAAGAATGATGAAGGAAAAATTAGAGAAATGCCCAAGTTCAACCTAGAACTGTAAATAATGACAAGGTTGAGAAAATTATTGATTCTAATTAGTTAGCTTCAACTTCATTTGAGATGTCTTTTAAAAAGAAAAAGAGAATTCACAGCTTTATAAGATGGATTATTTAAAAAAAATTTTCAGTGCATAAAATCCAACAAAAGTGACAAACCCCAATGTATTATTTGTAATGACAACTTCAAAACTAGAAGGACACTTGGAAACACAGCATGCTGGACTTATTAACAAGCCCTTCAAACATTTTTAAAAGAAAACAAAGGACAAACAATTACTGGCACAATTTCTCTGTTGTTCAATTAACTATTTTTTGTTTGTTTGTTTTGTTTTGTTTTGTTTTTTGAGGTGGAGACTCAATCTGTGGCCCAGGCTGGAGTGCAGTGGCACAATCTTGGCTCACTGCAACCTCCACCTCCCAGGTTCAAGAGATTCTCCTGCCTCAGCCTCCCAAGTAGCTGGGATTACAGGTGCCCACCACCATGCCCGGCTAATTTTTTTGTGTGTTTTTAGTACAGAGGGGGTTTCACCATGTTGGCGAGGCTGGTTTGGACTCCTGACCTCAAGTGATTCACCCGTCTCGGCCTCCCAAAGTGCGATGATTACAGGTATGAGCCACCGCGCCTGGCCTGTTCTATAAACTGTTAACGAGACTTAGTTACATATGGTTGGACAAAAGAGAAAATGGCTCTCACACAGTTGCTGAAAAATTATTCTTCTAACTATCCAGAGCATTGGTCTGGGCAAAGATTTCTTGAGTAAGACCTCAGAAGCACAAACAACCGAAGCAAAAATGGACAACTGGGATCACATCAGGCTAAAAAGCTTCTGCACATCAAAGGAAAAAATCAACAAAGTGAAGTGACGAGCCACAGAATGGGAGGAAATATTTGCAAACTACCCATCTGACAAAGGGTAACCACAATATATAAGGAGCTCCAACAACTCAATAGGAAAAAACAAACAAACAAATAATCCAATTTAAAAATGGGTAAAAGATCTGAATAGACATTTCTCAAAAGAAGACATACAAATGGCAAGCAGGTACAGGAAAAATGCTCAATATCAAATCATTGGAGAAATGCAAATGAAAACTACAATGAAATATTATCTCACCCCAATTAAAATGGCATTTAACCAAAAGACGGGCAATAATGAAAACTAGTAAGGATGTGGAGAAAGGGAAACCCTTGTGTGCTCTTGGTGGAAATGTAAATTGGTAAAACCACTATAGAAAACACTATGGAGGTTCCTCAAAAAATGAAAAATGAAACTATCATATGATCCCACGGTCCTACTGCTGGGTATATATCCAAAAGAAAGGAAATCAGTATATCAAAGAGATATCTGCACTCCCATGTTTAATGAAGTGCTATTCACAATAGCCAAGATATGGAATCAACCTAAGAGTCCATCAACGAATGAATGGATAAAAAAAATGTGGCACATACAGACAATGGAATATTATTCAACCATTAAAAAGAATGAAATCCTGCCATTTGTACCAACACAGATAGAACTGAGGGACATTATGTTAAGTGCAGTATGCCAGGGGCAGAAAGACAAATATCTCATGTTCTCACTCATAAATGTGAGCAAAAAAAAAAAAAAATTGAACTCAGGGAGTTTAGTGGGTACAATTATGGCTACCGGAGACTGGGAAGGATAGCAAGGATAGGGTGACAAAGTGGAAATGGTTAATGGGTACAAAAATACAGTTAGATAAAATGAATAAGATCTAGTATATGGTAGCACAATAGGGTGACTATAGCTAACAATAATTTATTGTCTACTTTAAAATAACTAAAAGAGTAGAATTGGAATGTCCCTAACATAAAGAAATGATAAGTGCTTGAGATGATGGATACTCCAATTGCCCTAATGTGATTATTACACATTACATACCTGTATCAAAGTATCACATGTACCCCATAAATATATACAACTATTATGTACCTATGCTAATTCAAAATGAAACAACTTTAAAAAAAATCAATCTTTCAAAATAAAAAAATAAAAATTATTCTCTAATACAAATAGCTATGATGAATATGATTTTAATACCAAATCAGCTAATAAATTGAAATGTACAATTCTTTGGGATAGTAGTATTTCTAGTCAAATCTGTGCTACTGCAGAACCTTCTAGAGCCATGCTTCTCATGTGGTTAAAATCCAGTATAGAGCTTGAGATCCATCCCGAAAACAGCACAGATACTGCAAGTTGTTAAACTCCTCTCATGTATGCAAAACAACAAGATGCGTGTGAGTGTGTGGGGGTGTTTGTGTTGTTTAAATTTAACCTCACACACAATGGATTGTATATATTTACAAAAGTGGAAAAATGCTTTGTTGGTCAATATCTACTAAAATGGAAAAATAGAGCCAGGCATGATGGCAGCACATTTAGTCCCAGCTACTTGGGTAACTGAGGAGGGAGGATCACTTGAGTCCAGGAGTTCAAGGATATAGCATGCTATGATCATGTCTGAGAATAGCACTGCACTCCAGCTTGGACAACATAGGGAGTCTCCATCTCTAAAAGAAAATAATAAATTCAATTATTTTAATTTATATTTAAAAATAAAATAAAATGTAATAATGGAATTATGAGTGACAGGGCCAGCTGATATGGCTAGAAAGCAGCAAAGCCATTAAAATATTTGTAAAAACTATTCATGACAGTTGTGTTTAGAAATCAGAATCAATAGAAATGTGCCATCTCTTGAAGTAAGTCTGCTAAATCTCATAGAAGTATTGGAAAACATCATGAAGGTTGTTAAATGTATTAAAGAGAGCTCATCAATAGCCAAAATTTTGATGTGTTTTGGTGAGATTTGAATGAACCATACTCTCACACTGAAGCTCACTGAAATTCATTGTTATCTACGGATAACCACGTAAGGGAAAGTATTAAGCAGGATGAATAAACTCAGAAATGACAGTCACATTTTTCTAGTTGGAAAGCAATCTCATTTGGCAAGCAATCTCATTTTCAAAGACAATATTTGCCATTTTTAATTAGTATATTTAATGGAGGTTATTGATTTTTTAAAATGAACTTAAATGTATAATTTCAGGGAGAAAACAACAATATAATTCAGCAAGTCCAACACATCCAGGATTCCAAAGACATTTTGTTATGGCAAGCAAGACCTAAAAGCAATCACCCTAGCACCTATTTGTTCCTCATATTGTTACAACATATTGAAAATGGTATTATTAGTAAAGTCAGTATGATGGAAATAAAATTAGGGAGATCGTTATATTTCACTCCTCAGTTTCAAACTTGGAGTGATTTTCCAGATGCAATCATGATTTTCCAGATGATAAATTATAAACACAAGATAAAAGTTTTCAAATGAAAGACTCATTTTCTTTTCAGAACCCTGAATCAATAATTGACCTAAACTTGGTGCCCAAAAGAGGTGAATGAATTATTGCAGCTCAGTTCTACGTTTGCACGAAAGACTAATCACAAGACGTTAAATGAATCATAATTGTAGGGTAAGATTAAAGAAGAATCTCCATTCCTAGGCAAAAAGAATGCATCTTTATTATCACCATTCACAATTACCTATTTGTATGAACAAGGATTTCCAACTTTTAAAGTCAATTAAAACAAAGGAGAGAAACAGGCGCATGAATGTATGCACAGTGAGAATTATCCTTGTATGTTCTGGACTGGAATAAACTTAGAAGCAGACAAGTACTCCTAGTGCATTAAATACAGTCTTGCCTGACTCTTGTTTTTGTATTGCTTATTTGGGAAATTTTTCTTATGCTGCATTCAAGTTTTTTGTTTTTTGGTTTTGAGATGAGGTCTCACTCTGTCGCCCAGGCTGGAGTGCAGTAGCACCATCATACCTCACCGCAGCCTTAACCTCCCAGGTTCAAGCACTCCTCCTACCTCAACCACCTGAGTAGCTGGGACCACAGACACATGCCACCAAGCCTGGCTAACCTTGTTTAATTTTTTTAGAGACAGGGTCTCACTATGTTGCCCAGGCTGGTGTCAAACTCCTTGGCTCAAGCAATCCGCCTGACTTAGCCTCCCACAGTACTGGGATTACAGATGTGAGTCGCCACACCCGGCTGCATTCAAGTATTAATAAGGCAATATTAACTTTATGTTTTTAGTTTTTATATTTAATAAGAGCAAGTGTTCTACAAAACTTTGATTCTATTGTGTGGCGGCAGAAGGGAGAAGGAATATACTACATTGCTGTGCAAGACACATTTCTTACTAGGAAGTGTGACATAAAAGAAAGCTGAAAACCTCCAGTCAGTGTCTGCACTCCCCAGAAACCAGCCCCTATAGAGTGTAAATTTCAGAAGGGGAAGAATTTGATCTGTCTTGTTCATCACCTGATCTCCAGTAGCACCTAGAAATGTGCCTAGTACATCTTCAATAAATATTAATATTTGCTGGATAAAGAAGGAACTCACCAAATCAAAGGAGAAAATTCAAGTTTATAGTTATGTTTTGTTTGCATTCTTGAGACACTTTCTCCCTTTTATAGATGTGGGTTTTAGAAAAGATAAAGGGAAGTTACCGTGGTCATTTCCTATGAGGATCTGCAGGTTGCTAATAAGAAGGAAGGACTCCTAATCCCTTCTGGTTGGAAGAAGATGATCTTGAGTTTTAGGCCGTAGAAAGCCCTAGATGGAGAAAGGCTAAGAGCAGCAGGAGGGATGGGTGCAGTTCAAGCTGCAGGCCTGTGCAGCAAGACCATCACTTTTCCAACTTAGTGGAAAGCAGCTTTGCCTTTGAAAGGTTGCTGGACTCTTTCTGAGCTGAGAGAGATGGTCTAGTTTTCATCCCTAATTTTATAGAGGTAGGGCTAGAACAAAAACTAACAGACATGAGAAATGGTCTCTGAATGTAAAGGGCAGAGAAACAGTCAAATTTAGGTTAGCCTTAACTTCCTTTTTATAAAATGGGGATACTATTTGTACCATATCATAGGGATGGTATAAGGATTAACTGAAATAATAAACATGAAATGCTAAGCATCATGCCTGGCCCATAATACATACTGAATCATAATTAGTTACTATTACTATTACCAACAGAATATGTAATGCTTGGTTTTTTATTTTTTATTTATTTATTTATTTATTTATTTATTTATTTTTTTGAGACTAAGTCTTGCTCTGTTGCCCAGGCTGGAGTGCACTGGTGCAATCTCAGTTCACTGCAACCTCCACCTCCCGGGTTCAAGTGATTCTCATGCCTCGGCCTCCCAAGTAGCCAGGATTACAGGTATCTCCTACCATGCCCGGCTAATTTTTGTATTTTTAGTAGAAATGGGGTTTCACTATGCTGGCCAGGTTGGTCTCCAACTCCTGACTTCAAATGATCCACCTACCTCGGCCTCCCAAAGTGCTGGGATTACAGGTGTATTTGGGAATGTTAACTGAGGTTTTTTTCCCTTGTGCTTCTTTATAACCATTACTCTTTTCTTTATCATTCTGTCATATTCCATACACATTGTTCTCAGACAGAAAGTAGATAAAGCTGAGAAGAAAAAATCTGTTGAATGTCTGAATGGATTTATTTTAAACCCATAGTAGAGACAACAGCTTGAGAGGCAGGACTTTCTTTGATTCTGAAAGCTGTGCATTTTGAGAAAGAGCAAAACAAGTGTGTAGCTGCTTCCTAAGTTTTGGTATGGAGCCCAGAGCCCACCCTCTGAACCAAGTAAACCCACTATCAAGGCAATATTTTTTAAACTGTGGGCTGAGACCTCTTGCATCATAAAATTGGTTTATCGGGATAAAACCAGCATTAAAAGAAAGAGAATACAATGGACTAGGAAATCCCAGAGTTTGTTGCCAGGTAATGGCAATGTTGTTTGGTGAAGTTGTTGTTTCATGTGTGATGTGTACGTGTGCTCAGCCGTGATGTAAAATGCATTTTCTATTATAGTCATAGTCAAAGAAATTCGTACATCACCAGAGACTCTCCATAGCAGAGGACACATGTGTCTCTCCTCTCAGAATGTACCAGGGAGAATCATAGTTCCTGGGAGAATTTCCACAACCAGAATGGCATCAGAAGAACAGAGCAACCATGATCCAGGGTGGCCACACAGAAACCCCTTGCATCTTGGCGAGGCTGGGGAAAAATCTGAAAAGTTTCTATGGCCACCAAAAGGGACGCAGAAGAGGCCCTGGACAAGCCAAAAGGATCCAAAGGAGCTGCAGTCTGGACTATAAGGATGTAGGCAAAGGGAGGTGACAGTGGAAACTTGGCCATCAGAAACTAGTGCTGGCTCAGGACAATGAGACCAAGTTGCAAGAGTTACCAATCAGTGGAAACTGTTGTAGACAGAATGTCATGATGGGCCAGACGCTGCTTTTCTCCCCACACCAACATGATGCATGAACCCTGCCCCACAGACACATGCCCCCTGCAGCTGCAGAGACTGAAAAAATGTCGGGGAATAAGGGGAGGGAACTTCTGATTCGCTATTCAAAGACTATGTTTCAATTCTGTTTTAAAACAGAATGGGGCTGGGTGTGGTGGCTCACACCTTTAACCCCAGCACTTTGGGAGGCTGAGGTGAGTGGATTGCTAGAGTCCAGGACTTCAAGACCAGCCTGGGCAACATGCCGAAACCCTGTCTCTACTAAAAATACAAAAATTTAGCCAGGTTTTGTGGTGTGCGCCTGTAGTCTCAGCTACTCGGGAGGCTTAGGAGGGATAATTGTTTGAGCCCAGGAGGCAGAGGTTACAGTGAGCTGAGATCAAGCCACTGTACTCTAGCATGGGTGACAGAGCAAGAGCCTGTCTCAAAAAAAAAAAAAAATCAGAATGGGTCTGATGGTACATTTCAAAAACAAGTTAGATGAAAATAAAAATTTAAAATCAAAATAAAAACAGAATGGGCACCAGGTGCGGTGGCTCACACCTGCAGTCCCCAGCACTTGGGAGGCTGAGGTGGGAGGATTGCTTGAGCCGAGGAGTTTGAGAGCAGTCTGGGAAACAAAGGGAGACTCCTGTCTCTACAAAAAAAATTTAAAAATTATCCAAGTGTGGTGGCATACATCTGTAATCCCAACTACTCGGGAGGCTGAGGCAGGAGGATCCTTTGTGCCCAGGAGGCTACAGTGAGCTATGATCGTGCCACTGCACTCCCGCCTGGGTGACAGAGCAAGATTCCATCTCTGTAAAACAAAAGATAAAAAACAGAAAGGGCTGGATTTATCTTGAATTAGAAAGACCACAGACATTGGAGGTTGAGTTAATGATTTGAGGTCAGTTCTAGGAAAATTAAGTTACATCTTCGAACACCAGGAGCTGTGACTGTATAAAATATCAAAACTGACATGTTATTATTAATGAAGCCTTTGGATTTGGCAACTAGAAAGTCGTGAGCAACCTCCAAAAGTGCAATTTCCGTCATGGTTAGGACAGAAGCCAGATGGGAATGGGGTCAGAACAGAGTGGTCAGAATAAACTGCTCTTTGGAGACACCCGTGAGGAGTGTGGGTGTGGGTGAGTATGGATCGCAGGCTTGAGGGAAAGTTCCGTTTATTTTAAATGGAGAAACCTAATAATTTATAGGCAGACGTTGTAGGCAGATGAGAAAGGCTTACACAGAACTGTCCGTGGGTAAAGGAAGGAGCCAGTGGACATCGGATACATTACTACTCGGATGAAAACTGGTCAAATCCTCAAAGGCAAGGTGCTCGCGGGATGGTAGCAGTCACGGTGGTACTGCAGGGTGGTGTATGGAATGAGAAGAAAGGTGTGTGTCTGATCGTGCTGGTCTTTGACTTCCATCTCTTTCTTGGGCTCAGCACCCCGGGACCTGTGAAGGTTGAAGACCCCGTGGAAAGGTTCCAGAGTCCTTAGGAGCTCCTAGGAGCCTCGTTCAATGTTATGGCTCTTCATTTAAACCCCATTGCCCAGTGGCTGTTGAGTTCTGCCTGCCCCTGTTCTCTGATCACTGCTTGGCTGACCCTTTTCTGTTCTGATCACAACAGTTTATCGTTCTCAAGGGACAATTCTGTAAAGGAACTCGAATGGAGGGTTCAAAACTGAGGCAAGGCATGTTTATGAAACAAGTCTCTCAAAGCCTGACGTTTCCCACGGAACAAGGGCTGTCTGTCCCACCCTGGCACTCATTCCTATCCCCCCGCCCCCGCCCTCCGTGTCAAAGGCTTCTCGGAGAAGGAGACCATGACATCACTTCCTTCGGGTGGTGCAGGGTCGTCTGGCCTCACGCCCACTGCCTTTGGCCGCTGACCCCCGAGGAAGTGAGGCAGCGGCCGGAGCCGGGCACGCCCTGAGCTCGCTCTCCTGTTTTCCCTCTGGCTCACCTCTGGGGGCGGTCCCAGATGCCTTGAGAAGTGGGTTGTCTTCAAAGTATCTCAGTGCCTCCCAGTGCCCTCTGATATTTCCTTTAGAAGTCATGGGGAACTGCAGGGGTGAAGAGACACCACTAGGTGGCTGCACAAGACCTTGTTTGTTTCCATAGGTGCCAGGCTGGCGGCAAAGAGAGATGAGACCCCCCGCCCCCCGCCACTGTGTGTGTGTGTGTGTGTGTGTGTGTGTGTGTGTGTGTGTTCGTGCGCGCGCACGTGGCGGGGGGGGGGGGGGGGGGGGAGGTGCCCAGTGGGGAGAATGGGGAGGCAGAGACAGAAGTTTAAGAAAACCCAATGTTAAAAAAGCCTAAATTTACAAAGCAGGTAAGTTGAAGGGCTATCCTTAATGCCCACAGTGGAAGGAGTGCAGAGCTCCTCCTTATAGGAGAATTCTCTTGATATTTTTAGTCCTTTTTAGTTCATCAGTTATTTAGCAGAGAAACTGAAGTGTTAGCCTACTAACGTTTCTGGCTACTGAAAATGAATCAGAAATGAGAAGGTTGCATGAGATCTGAATTCTTCTAAGAATCAGATTTCTTTGCATCTGATTTGCATTCATTTTCATTCATAATCAGAAATTTGACGAGTTCCTACTACCTGCCACACCCTGGGCTAGGTGCTGAGGAGAGAGCTGTGAACAACACTCTGTACCCTCATGGAACCTAAGTAGAAAAATGCATATACACTGTACATAGAAAAAAAAGGGTACAGTTTCTCCAGCTCTGTCATTCTACGATTCCATGACTATACCCTTCCTTTGCACAGCCCTCACATGAAGCATGGGATAGTAAGACTCAGTTAATCCACCAAAATTAGATGCCACACAGATTTTCTGGAGTAGAGTTGCAGTGTGATTTCCAGCATGTGGTCATTTTACCATCAAAAGTTCCATAAGAAGTGATGCCATGGAATTTCCAAGTCTCTCTTCTTTATCTGTTTATTACCTACTTAGGTCATCTGCCAGTGCCAGGACAATCATCTGAGACAGGGGCCGCTCCTGCGGCAGAAAAAGCGGTGGGCAGGCTGAAGACCACAGGCTGAAATACGCAATTGGAAAATAAGAAAGAAAAGTGATCACAAGTCCTGGACACCAAGAAGATTGTGGAAAAACTCATAATATAAAGGTGTGGCATTTCTAAGCACTGCCAAATTTATTTCTCCAGCCAAGTCAAACATGACACAATGGAAGCCAGCTCCCAGATGCCCCACATGAGAAAGCATAGATTATAGATTCAGTGTGGAAATCACATTTGGGTTTGGGAGGTGGCTGGCTTGATCTGCAAGAGGGTGGGGTATGACTTGCACCCATGTGTGCACATAAGCACATGTGAGAACTAGGAGAATGGGTGTTCATGTGGAATCATGGAACACCAGAGCTGGAACATACTTTCAAACTAATTTAATCCATCCTCTCATTTTATAAATGCAGAAACCAGGCCTGCAAAGGAGAAGGTCTTGCCCAGTATCCCAGAGTCACCATTGACAGAACTAAGACTATATAACTCAATATCTTGATCCCCAGTTCATAATTCCAGTCATTTTATCTCTTCTTAAAGGATCATAGACATGTTTGTTGCCTTTTTCACTTGGATTTACTTGACTTACCTTTACATGTTATGGTGGTTGAATGGTGCCACCATCCCTTTCCCAAAAAAGATACAGAATCTGTGAATATGTCCTTACTTTTAAATTTATTTTTAAATGTTATTTATTTACTTATTTGTTTGAGACAGGGTCTCACTCTATCACCCAGGCTGGAGTGCAGTGGCACAATCATGGCTCACTGCAGCCTCAACCTCCTAGGCTCAGGTGATTCTCCCACCACAGCCTCCTGGGTAGCTGGGACTATAGGTGCACGCCACCACACCTGGCTAATTTTTTGTATTTTTTGTAGAGATGGGGTTTCACCATGTTGCCCAGGCTGGTCTCGAATCCCCTTATTTTTAAAAAGGATCTCTGCAGAGGTAATTAATTAAGGATATTGAGATGAGATTATGTTTTATTAGGATCAGCCTATATCCAATGGCAAGTGTCTTGAGAAGAGAAGAAGAGGAGTGAAAAGGAGAGGAAAGGAAAGGAGAGGAAGGGAGGGGAGAAGAGGAGAGGGGAGGGAAAGGGAGGGGAGAAGAGGGGAGGAAGAAGACACATGGAGAAGAAGACAATGTGAAGACAGAGATTGGGGTGATATATCTACAAACCAAGGAACCCCAAGGATTTCCTGCAGCCACTAGAAGCCAGGAGAGAAGCACGGAACAGCTTTCCCCTCAGTGCCTCCAGAAAGAACAAACTCTGCTAGCACCTTGATTTTGGACGTGTGACTCCAGAACTGTGAGAGAATAAATTTCTGTTGTTTTAAGCTACCAAGTTTTTGGTACTTTGTTACTGCAGCTGTAGGAAACCAATACATTTATATGTCTCAGTTCCTTCAACTGCCTTTGTTCTATTCTTTTGTTACCTTGAAGACGGAAGCATTCTTTGAGCATAGTAGCACATCATGGTTATGAGATGCTGTTGCTATTGGCAGGCGAAAGATTGCTTAGAGATGGTCCTCTTGGAAAAATCTAAACATGTTGTACTCTAAGTGCCACTAACTAAAACCAGCCTTGAGAAGTTCTCAAGACGGGCCTTCCAAATGCCCTAAAGCTGTCTTCATATGACCAAAAGGAGAGCCAATGGGAAAAGAACACAACAGTTTTTCCCCATCCTAGATGTTGAGTGTGGTCATGACTGGCTTTTATTAGAATCGTGTTCTCTCTGGTAATATGAGAGGCTGTTATCAGTATGATTATTTATTTATCATCTAGGTTTTTTTGGTTTTTTGTTTGTTTGTTTGTTTTTTGAGACAAGGTCTCGTTCTGTTGCCCAGGCTGGATTATAGTGGCGCAATCTCGGCTAGCAGAAGCCTTGACCTCTTGGGCTCAAGTAATTCATCCACCTTAGCCTCCTGAGTAGCTGATACTACAGGTGCATGCCATACCTGGCTAATTTTATCATTTTTATAGAGACAGGGTTTGTCCCCAGGTTGCCCAGGCTAGTCTCAAACTCCGGGGTTCAAGCAATCCACCCACCTTGGCCTCCCAAAGTGCTGGGATTACAGGCATTAGCCACCATGCCCAGCCCACCTAGGTCTTTAAATGACTTTGGATGGTGCAGGGGAGTGGGGAGTCACACCTTAAATGAATTTAAAATAGAATTGGAATTATAAGTAATATTATAAGGCAAATCTGTTGCATAATGCATTGTCTTCAAGCATATTTTTCCTTTTCATGTGGTTGTTGGCAAATATCTGCAATGGGAAAGAGGATCATCCTTTTGGGAGACTTTCTTTTGTGTTTCTCAATGTTGCAGAAATAAACACACAACTTTAATTCGTTCCCCAAAGGAAGAAATAATAAAAACAACCTACTCAAAACTAGTCAGAGTTGCTGGAAAAATCAGGAAATAGCTTTTGTGGTTTGTTTGTTTGTTTTTCTCCATAATTTTCCAGGAAATCTATTAAAGACAGTAGCTGCCCTTTGGATAACACATTCATTCCAAGGGCCAAAGATATTGGTGCATATGCTGAAGCTGTCTCATGTCCTGAGCAAATCTCTCCATCTAAGCTCATGGCACCCCAGGGCTGGGCTCAGAGCCACGGCATAAAGAAGTCAATGGTGTCAACCTAAGGAAAACAAGGCAGCTGATATCAAACTTGTTTAGAATAATGTCATCTGATGAATTAATTCCACTTTAAGCCCAAATTGAGATTTAAACATGTCAGAGAATGGACCTAAACTGGTGGGTGGACAAGAATAGTCAGTTTGTAGGTTTGCTATATGGAGTAGAAACAGAAGGGAGGAGGTTTAGTGGCCATCGGGTTGGAGGTAAAAATGAAAGGCCAAAGTGGGATTTGTTCCATACCTGGCACCTCAGTTTGATGTCTGAGCCTGGTAGAAAAGGGGCTGTGAGCTAAAGCTATACTATTGGTCTTTGTGAGGGACTCAGTGAGGCCTGAGGCAAGAGTATCATTCTTACTTTCCTGAGGGACCCGCATGACACAGGTTGCCAGACAGATGGGCCAGGACATAGTGCTGTTCTGGCCCTCATGGATTAGAAACTTTGGCCTCTGGATTTAGTTGGCTTGGATGTTGAAATTCTGATTGTGGTGGCCAGAAGCTAGGGCAATGGAGAGTCATCTCAAGAGGTTTTGTGGACAGCAAACTTGGATGGGGCTGAGGCCAAAGAAGAGGGACGAGCCTAGAGGAATCTGTGCGTTGACTATAATAACATGGTCACCATTCATAAGGACATGTGAGACATCCTCAATGAAGTCTGGATAGAACTTTGTTGAAACAAATAGAAGGTCCTAGTTGAGCATGCGGTAAGAAGAGTCAATAAAACTTGGGTTATTACTATTTTTTTTAATTTTGTATTTTTTGTAGAGATGAGGTTTTGCCATGTTACCCAGGCTGGTCTCAAACTCCTAGACTCAAGAGATTCACCCATTTCAGCCTCCCAAAGTGCTGGGATTACAGGTGTCCACCACAGTGCCTGGCATGGGTTACTACTACTAAGGTGACCCACTTCGGTACCCAAGAAACACTAAGGTTGAAATTACACCTCATCTAATAGGCCATGTTTTCAAACTGTGCTTCATAGTAGTCTAGGTATACTGAGGAGACCCTTGAGACTGGAGGAGTGGCTCACAGCAGGATCTGGGCCTTCTACCACCGACTCAACATCAGCCACTATTTCACCTATTTTACCTACAGTAAGAGGAGTTTTGTAACTAACAAAAAGGTCTTCATAGCTTAATGGAGAGGTCTCAAACACCTCTGCTTTAGGGCTCCCTTGACTAAGCCTGGCAACATGTACTGAGTAGATTTTCAGTGAATTACATATTTATTTGTATATACAATCTAGCCAAAAGATGATTTGAAGCAGTAATAAGTTTGTACTAATGGATGAGGCCAGAGTAAGTGATTTATTTCTAAAACCCATTGAAAATAACAAAACAATTAAAATATTAAATGTTTGGGAATACTGTTTTATTCCTTTTGGACACACCAGAAATGAACGAACACAAATCTTAATGTGGGACATTTATAGTGATTCTATCTATTGGAAATAAGAAAAATAGTAGTAAACGATCATATGTACCTCTGTTTTAAGTATATTTCCAAGTTACTATCTGTGAGCTTGTTCAGTAGTTGTTATCTAATTTTCCATAGCAAGAAAAAAATGGCCAACTCATAAGTTGTGTTTCTGTATGCATTTAGATTAACAGATTATTATTGGTTTTTTAAAAAGGGAGGTTTTGGCCAGGCGCGGTGGCTCACGCCTGTAATCCCAGCACTATGGGAGGCTGAGGCGGATGGATCACATGAGGCCAGGAGTTTGCCTGGCCAACATGGTGAAATCCCGCTACTAAAAGTACAAAAATTAGCTGGACGTGGTGGCGCACGTCTATAATCCCAGCTACTCTGGAGGCTGAGGCAGGAGAATCGCTTGAACCTGGGAGGCAGAGGTTTCAGTGAGCCAAAATTATGCCACTGCACTCCAGCCTGGGCAACAGAGCAAGAC